>NC_000013.11:85285935-85438775 GCF_000001405.40 Homo sapiens | reverse complement strand
TTTTTCACCTGATGGCTAAGAACTTTAGGAAACACCCCAATTCTGCCTCTCAGTGACACCATTACTTCTTATTCTTCAGCCTTGTCTGTCAGTCCTTCACTCCATCAATAGCTAGCTGTCTGCTTCCCACAAAGTGGATATTTCACACCTTTCTACTTGATTTTCAAACTTCCTGGAGAGTCATGTTTTCTCATTCTCAACTGTAATCTCCATCTTCACTTCACAGAGAAAATAGAAACTAAAAAACCCTAATTGCCTGACATTTCCACCTCTAAATCACCATACATTTTTCAGAACACACTAAGCATTTCCTTCTTCGTATCCACTACAATGGAACTGAGATCTTGTATGTCAAGACCTCTTCTTGACATAACATTAGTACCCTTTTCTCAAAAAAAATTGATTTGTCAAAAGATTAATAATCTAAGTGACTTCTCCATCCTTATAATACCTCTAACCTGTTTTTCTTTACTGCCTTCTTTCATTTGCATGCAGCATTTAAATGTGTTTAAATTCACCCATCTTGGAACAAAATGTAAAAAATAAAAAATAAATAGAACACTTCTCTCTGAAACCATGCATTGCTTTCTTCAGATCTGAGCTTTCCTTCAGCTTGGCCACTTAGCAATTCTCTTTGTAATAATTTTCGTCTGCTCTTGTTAATTCCTCTTTTCAATACATTTCTCAACACACCAAATCTGGTATTTAGTCATCTTCATTTCTCCATAAACATTACAAAAAAAGCACACAGAGCACTATTATTGTGTTTTTAATTGCAATGAGCACTTTAGGATTCTGTCTACATTTTCATGTATTGTCTGAAAATGTTGACTCCTCCTTGCTTCCTTGAAATATCATCCTCCTTTAGCTTCCATTACCTTGCACTCCTCTGTTAATTTCTGCTTTTTTGTCAACATAAATGACTTAACCTTTTTTTAGGTTTTCTTATTTTTCTCCCCATTTACATTTAAACTGATGCTTATCCTAGGACCCTTTTACCTACTTTTATTCACTAATGTCATCAATTCAATGAGTTGATTTTCCATTGATAAAATGTGTTTTTGCAGTATTGCTGTTCCATTGTTTGTGGTTGAGTTTAAGCATCTTTTAAAATGTTTTTATATGTTTCCAGTACCTACGAATATGTCATTATAATGTGTCTTTGAAAAGGGAAAGATATAGGGAAGGGCCGATGTGAGAGAGGTCCTTGAAATTGTAAACAAATTAATGTATATAGGGCATCGGCACCATTACATTTTCTTAATGTTTCTGTTGCAGCAAAAAAAAAAACCACACATAATATTTCTTCCTCACAGTTTCTACATCACGGCTACATTTTCAAGTTGTCATTATATATACACACACACACACACACACACACACACATATATATACACACACACACATATATATATACACACATATATATATCCACACATATATATACACACACACACATATATATATATATATTCATCTCTATAGCATTGTGATAAAAGCAGCAGTGGAAGTAAAAAGAATGCAGATATTCCTCTCATTCATATTCAGCCACAAACTAGATGTGTGACTTTGGTTAGTTAATTTAACCTTGTGAGTTTCTCTTTAAAAGAAGGACTTAGGACCACATGCTCACTAAGGTAGTTTTAGTCTTACAAATATTTTGACTCACTGATCCTTAATACTTTTACATTTGTTTTTTGAGCAGAGGTGGCTCCAGTTTACTTTATGATTCTTCATATTTACATTAACCCCTCAGAGGTGCTGAAGAGCTTCTAAGGGTTGGCAAAGAAATGTGGATACAGGTCCCAGAGTCCATTAGCCTCAACTGTATAGGCTTATTCTCAGGTGCAAGTTTGTATCCAAACATTTTATTATCTCCTCTTTTACTGTCACCTGCCAGGATGCTTTGGGGGTCATTAGCATAATTTAAACTGCTTTAACTGACAATCTAAATGTTGTTCCACTTCATCTCTTCACTCTAATGTATAAACGTGCACATCTTCTGAGATTAGGCCCAAATCAACTGTAATCAAATTTTATCAAAAGTGTGTTAATTTTAATGTTGCCTTCGAATTCGTATTTTTTGAGAAAATTAAAAGAAGGAAGAAAACCAGCATACTTAAGCACAAAGGCCCAGCATATTTTGAAATATACAGTCAATATTACTTTATCTTGATTAAGTTTCTCAGGATCTTTATCTACACCTCAACAATATAATAATAACAATATTAAGAATCATCAGGTTATTTCTTCACTTTGGGCCATATTTAAAGTACACTTAAAATAATTTCTAAGATTCAGAAGTTTTAAGAAGCAGAATGTATCAGAAGAACTTCTTGTGCTATGTGTTAGGTTAATTTACCTGAATGCGGGCCACCTTGCCCTAAAAGGCAGGGTAAATCACTTGCCAGTCTATTTTAATTTTCATTCTTCTCAATCTTAATTTCTTTTCTTCTATAGCCTGACTCCATTTCTGGAACCAATTAAGCATTTTATATCCCATTTACTAGTACCTGCTTCTTTTCATATAATCTAAATTAACTCAATTCCACTTGACAATCAAGCTTCTAAGAAAAAGCTCAGTTCATCATTATAAAGCTGACCCAAAGGAGTGGGTAAAGAGGCTTTTATATAATAAAACACTGAGCTCTGGCACTCACAACTTTTATTAACTGGCAGATTCTAAAGAGCCTAAGCAAACACATTGGAGAAATTGATTTCCTTGGGAAATATGACTGAATGTCCAAAGTAAAACCCTTTGCTGAATAGTAAGTTGAAAAAGACAGACAATAATACACTTTTATGTATTATCCCTGCCATCATCTTTTCTGCTTTAAAAAAATTATGTAGGAGTCAAGAAGATAACTAAGCACATGAATACGAAATTTAAATGGCATTTCCAAGTAAAGATAACTATATCTAAGTCCAAAAATAAAAGGGCTTGAGAGGTTTTTTTTTTTAATTTTTCTGGTCAATGTTTAGTGCAAAAACTAATACACATGTGCATTCTTTGTGCCCTTATTTTATCTTGGGCTTAAGTCTCTGATAGGGATCATAGTATGGTGGTATATAACATGCTGTTTATTTTTAGTCCTTCTGATGAGGAATTCAACTGCGCTAGTTTTTGTGTTCTTAGTGTTTTGTCTTACACTCAGCTTACTGTGGGACTAAGAAAAAAACTTTGTGATTTTTCCATGACATATGAATACTTGCTTACATTTTACAATTTAGGGTATGTTATATCGACATGTGGTCAGAAAATCCTGATGGGTTGAAAATTTGAGCAGGCTGATGTATGTATGAACTTATATAATCATACAAGAATTTTGCAATAAATTTCAATAGGTAAGAGAAGAATAGTGTATTGTTATCCAAGAAATATATCAAGAATTTGAAGAAGGAAAAGAAAAAAGTCTAAAATTAAGTTAATTTGGCACCAAATTTATTTAGTTCATAAAATTTACCATTGATTTTTCTATTGAAGAAACAATGGCATTATTTTTTATCATAAAAAGTAGCATTCATAAAATAGTCATATATTTGAAGAGGATTAAGAATTCATTCAACATTGTGTTCCTATTTTTAAAAATTTTTTTAGTTAAATAGTTAAAAATAACCTTGATGATGGCTTTGTAGATGATGACTCAGCAATAAGGTACTAATCTAATTATTTGTGTAGTTTCAAATGTCTTGTCATTTCCAGTTATCATTGAAAGTAAATTATCAACAGTTTTATTTACACAAATATGCAATATCTTATTTTTGAGTAATTAAGTTAAATTAAGTATAATTATCCTAAATATGGTAATTTACAGTTTGGAATATTATATCATTAGAAATTGGTTTTTAGGTTATAAATAAACTTTTTCTCTGTTAAGTGTGTGCAGTGCAAAAACCTGAGGATATCAACAGAATAATTTCTAATACTATAGAAAATTAAATAATGGAGTATTAACCTAAAGAGTACTCTGAGTAAATATTAGATTATCACAGTATTATTAATTCTATTTATAGGTTGCCTATTCTGAAATGATAAAAGAAATTCCTGAAAAATCATTTAACTTCAAAGAAAAGCAGATAAGTAGATATAATGACAGCATTCATCATTTAGACTAAGCTTTTTGATCCCTTTAAATTCCCACAACCTCAGAAATAAATGAAAATTGTTTAAAGTTTGGAATATGCCTTGCAATATATGTCACATACAATTGTTCAAGCTGTTTCTCTTTTTTTTTTTTTTGTATATAATCATAGCTACTGGAAACATTTTGAGTTTGATGAGAGCTGGCTACTAGGCCCACAGCTTCCCTATGAATTTACAATAAAAGCTAGTCTCAGAACAAATTCAGGCACGACACAGACATGTATGTATTGAGTATTTATTAGCATACAAATAAAACTTTATTATACTCTCTAGGTTTGAAAAATCTCCATGTCTTTATCTACCACCAATTCCTCATAGAAAGTTGAACCTATACCATAGTGACAATAAACCACAGATTGCATTCTGTCGTCATTTTAGCCAGCATCAGGCAGCCAGAAGTTTTGAGTCCATCCTCATCAAAGAACTATTAGGGAACCAGCCTGGAGAGTCATCCTAGGGTGCATGTTATAGGCTTGGATACAATTTAGTGTCTTGGATGGAGGATCTTTAATGTATATTAGCCAATCTGCATCTGGGATACTTTCAATGTTTCCAATAAGAAACATAAATAATATTCATCATATTAGATAAACACTACTATTTTCTGCTATGACACTGCATTTGACATTTTTTAAATGAGTTAGTAAATAGGTGTTGATAGAGATACTAGTAGCAGAGCCCATTATAGTGGCTGCCTCTAGAGTGTGAACATTCTCGTTGACCAATAGTCAACCATTAACTGTACATCCTTGATTAGACCGTTAGCACTTAAATAGCACACATATAATTGAACACTATATGTACTGAAACACTTTCAAGTAAATTATTATTCTAAGAACTAAGAGTTGATATACTGAAGACAAAAGTTATTAAACTGTGATCCTAGGGAAAATATAACAGCTCTAGAGTGAGGACTCTCCCTTCCTCTTATTTCTCTTGTAAGAATAAAACTATCTTCCTGGCCCACTCAATCTCTATGTCCTTAAGGGTAATGGGTCAACTCATGGCTAATGTGAGAGTAGAAGTGATTATACTTGGGAACATTAACATCAGGCCTAGACTCTAGTCCTTAGTTCTGCTACTTCCCATATGAACTCAAAAAAATTGCCATCTCCTCTATAGCACAATTTTCTTGTCTGCACAATGGGTACCACAACTGAATTACCTCAGAGATTTTTATTTTATTCATTTAATATAATTTATAAATGCTTCATATGTCTCAAGTTTCCCTTATTCGCTAAATATATTCTAAATGAACAAAGAAACACATACAAGATACACAGTAGATGTAATTTAGCAATAGACAGAAACCTGAAGCAAAGTAATGAGAGGAATTATATACGTTTAGAGGGGGAACCATTTTGTAGAGTGATATATAGACAGAAATCTGATGTAAGAACATCCCAGCAGAGGAAAAAGAAGTGCCAAGACCACTTAAAGGCTGTGCCTTGCAATATTCACAAGAAGCCCAATGTGCTGGACTAGAAATAAACAAGATAAAAAGATTTAAGGAGATGAACCTAGAGAAATAAGGAGATGATCCCAGAAGAGTAAAGAGATGGTGAGCCAGATAGGTTTGTGTTAAGAATCAAATGAGGTGATAGCATAGTATAGTTCTTGGCACTACAGTATAGGAAGTGCTGTGTAAGTGTTAGACATTTATTCTTGGAATCACTTCCTTAGAGGGAGAGATTGCCACCTAAAATATGTTGGCTAGGAATATGAACAGGAGTGAATTGTCAGTGGTTTACAGAAGCACCATAAAAACTGAGTGACCGGAGACAAACTTTGTCTAATCTAGGAGTTTGCCAAGGACAGACAACTTTGGAGATGTTATTTCCATTTAGTTTTAAGGCTTTCTATGGTACATATGGTCAATTAGGATTATCAAAAAAATAGTTTTGCTCACCAATGCCACTGTCACTACTATTAAATATCAAAACATCACAGGAATTGAGTAGGCTCCAAATGTTAAAATCGGTGTATCACTAAACGCTGATCTTTTTTAGGTCTTCTAATCATATTTTGCTATTGGATGAATGAAAAGTTATAGCTGCTTAATAATAGCAATATAACCAAGATACTACTAAAAAGGGAGAAAAAATTTTGAATAAATGCAACATCAGTGTGCACTTTTGAATACCATTTTTTATTGACACATAAATAATTTTGGAGTGTTCAAAGTTTACAGATGTCAATAGACATATGGGAATATTCAATATCTTGTTACCACCAAGCACAAAAATTGACTTTTTCTTCATAGCATTGATTTGTTATGGACTTGGAAATAATTACTGAATAATGATCCAGATTAAGTGCTAATAAAAGTCATATATTTATGCATAAAAATTTGTGAGGATATGCACATAAAGTTGTTTTGAATGTAAAATAAATAACAGCTGCATGTACTGGTGTTAGGGGATACTAGGGGTGTCACTTCGCCATCCAGAAACATCTGTTGACAGTGGTGCCTTTGCCCGAGTTTTGCCCAGGCCCACTGGGCCCACTTGGCCTGGCAGGCTGCACTCAGCTCATACTACTGGCCCGGATATCATGCCTGCCAAGGGTGAGCAGAGCAGCAAGAGGTATGTGAGTGAGTGACCATGGGGTCCAGCCACTGCTCACTTCCAGGCGTGCTGGCTACAGTGGGGTGAGCAGCTCCAAGAACCAGCACAGGCATCAGCTCTCTGTGAAGCTGTGGCTGGACCAAGCGTACCACAAGCAGCTTCGACGACTGGCACCAGGGAATGTGGTGGTGCTCGGTAGTGTGGAGATGTCAGGAAACACAGAGCCTCAAAAAGGGTGTCGCAGCCCTGGCTTGAGGTGCTCGTAAGTCTGGGATCCCCAAAGGGCTGCAGCTTTTCTCTCCTGTCATCCACAACATGGTGAGCAAGGGGCATGTTTCAGCCCCGATTGTGTTACAGCTCTTTCAGCCCCACCATTTGGTGGATCCTGAGTTCTTTTCCTGCATTCAGGAAGAATGAGATACGTGGACAAATGGAGGAGGAGAAAGGTGGAGAGGAGCTTTATTGAGTGATAGAACAACTCAGTGGAGACCCACAGTGGGTCGCTCCTCTCCTCAGCTGGTCATTCTGTTGTCTGCTTGAGTCTGGCTGAGTCCATGGCTTTTATGGGCTTCAGAAGAGAGGAAGTGTGTGCTGATTGGTCCATGGGTGGTCATGAGTGAGCCTGGAAAAAGCAACGTAAGTTCCTACTCCCGTCTGAAGAACATGCATCCTGGTCCCCAGGTTTCAGGCCTTCCCTGGCTTGAAGGTGTGGCCTCAAGCCCTCCTCTTTCCACCCAGGAGCCTGTCTGCCTCCTGTCTCTGTTCATAGCACCCACTCTGCTTTGCTGAGGGGCGCCTGCAGAGCAGCACCTGGCTGCCCTCAGCCCCACCGTGGCCTCTCTCCCATGCTCCTCAGTGCCTGAAGTCCAGAGGGGGCTGGTGCATTAGCAGTGCCCCAAGCATATGCACACCTGGCCAGGTTGTACCAGTGCCCAGGCTCGGCCTCAACTCGGCTCCAAGATTGGAGTGGGTGCCAGAAGTGGGGTGGGAGCAGGAACATCTGAGCCTCTGTGGGGAGAGGGGCCTTCCTGGGCTCCTAAGAGTGCAGAGATGCCCAGGACACCATTGGGTGGCTGCAACTGAACCTGGGAAGGTGGGGCCCTTGCCTGCTCCCAGACCCCAAGAACACAGGAATGCCCAGGTCCACAGCCATGGCTAGGGGAGCTGCAGCTGCAGCAGCACCCTTCAGGGTGGGGCTCCTGCCCAAGAGCGCAGGGATGCCCCAGTTGTCAGCCCACCTGGGCCAACTTGTAAGGGGGCAGGGCTTCTGCCTGTTCCCAACTACCCCTGGCTCCATGAAGCATGCAGCCCTGACCGCACCTCCCCAGTGGCAGCTGGCATCATGGCAGCAGCCACTCCAGATGGGCCACTGCTGCCATCACTGGACAAATGATTACACTGTTTAAGGCATTTCATTTCTTGGTAGCCATGAATCTTCCTGTGGCACATAAATACAGATCACTAGATATGCTATATTTCAAAATAGGCACAGTTGGTTCTATTCTCAGGTCTGAAAGTAGTAAAGGAATTTTCCATTAAGACTGGATGTGGTAGATTTTCCTGCACTTTCATTAACCTTGCAGCATTTACTACTTCACCTAATAGCCTTGATGGTTCATAAATAATCCTCAGTTACCTGCTAAGTAAGCTCTTCACCACTTTCAAACTGATTGACATGATTCATGGTAAAAGACTCTCTGACAAAGCAATGCCTAGATGAAATTACTAGACTGCTTTTCACCCATCCCTTTCAGTTTATTTCTTAAAGATGGGCTCAGGAGTTTAAATCAGTAATGTCACAATTAAAATGCCACTCTTTCATAAGAGAATAAAAAGTAGCACATTGAAGAGTTTAGTAAACTGAAATATATTTCTTCATCTAAAAATAAAGTTGTTCTTAAGCATTTAATGCAAGACCAGAAAAAACCTTACAAGTTAAAAACAAACAACATAAGAGATTAGTAAATAGGTAACTATGTTTATTAGAGGTCCCAATTAAGTATGGGTGAGGAGACTAACAAAAAAAAACAATAAATTAAAGCTTGATTCTTTAAAGCTTCATTCTTCTCTCAGAATGAACAGGGTGATTTTCAGATTTTAATACTTTTTTTTTTCTAAAAAATTTAGGCCCTATATATTACATAAAAATAAAAATGTTATAGGCTAGAATTATTGTTTATTTAACATTGTCTTCTACACACAATTTAGTTTTTATTCTACTATTTTTTCTCCTAAGGTTGGATTTAACAGTAAAGCAAGTCTTCTGAGTCTAAACCTACCATCAGGTTTTTATTTACTAATTTAAATTTCTATCTTTCTTTATAGAGAAAGCAAAGCTCCATCTGGCTTGGATAGAGGAACTCTACTTACTTCAAACCTGCACCAACAGAAAATTTTTTTTATTTATTTTAAGGCAATGGTTCCTTTTAATGGGTAAAAGTCACAATATTTGAACTCTAATTGTTAGATCTGATACTGTATTACTTGGGATTCTTTGTGAGAATATTGGATAACAAGGAATAATTAAATTGCACACTTTTAGGGGCCTCAAGAAAAACTGAAACCAGAAACTTACATGTCAGTGATAGCTAAATCCTCTCTTTCTTTTTCTCCCTCTCCACACCGCCTCCCACCATGGGTTCATTTCACGCTCATTTTCTGTTCAAGTCAGAACACATGGCTGCCATCAGTAACCAATCCAATTTTATATTTTACACTTCAACTAAGGGAAGGATTTTTAATCAGTTATTGAGATTTCAAGTCACAGTGTAGAAGCAGTTTGGATGATCTAGTTTTTGTCTGGTAGTCACCTTTGTCAAGGGCCAAAATCATGCCACAGTGGATAGCTTCCCCTGTACCATCTGTGTGGATGGAGGATTTTAAACTAAGGTTAGTGTGGGTACGCTAAGTGGAATACCATGAATATTTACTACAAAGTATGCAGGTACATCCGTTGGCCATTAATTTTGTGTAATTGCATGTGTAAAATGATTTATCTTAATTATTTAATTGTGAACTCCTCAGAAAATTGGTTATCTCTGCTTTCTTAAGTTTATAAATGCTTGAGAACTTAGTTATTACTGTTTTAGTGAGGCTGTCTTAAGATTTTGTTATTTCAATTCTGTGAGTAGTGACAAGAATATAGATATTCCAGAAAAAAAAAAAAACACCTAAAAAAACACTTTCAAGAGCAGATCTTAGTTTCAAACGTGAAGAGACAGAGTGATTCAATAAAAGATTTTTTTCACTCAGTGAAAATTTGTGGACACTATCTAAAAATAACTTTCCAAAGTTGAATAGTTTTTATTCAATTCTTGTTCTGCCACTTAGATGCCATAACTCTGGGCAAACAATACAGTATTTCTATGCCTCAATCATCACATCTGTAAAGTGGTTATAATAAATATCTATCTAGTAGGCATATTATAAAAATAAGTGGATTGTTTCACATGAACAATTTAGAAATGTGCCAGGCACATAATTTATATATATGGTAGCTTTA
Source organism: Homo sapiens (assembly GCF_000001405.40). Classification (NCBI taxonomy): domain Eukaryota; kingdom Metazoa; phylum Chordata; class Mammalia; order Primates; family Hominidae; genus Homo; species Homo sapiens. The sequence continues at coordinate 85,428,562 of NC_000013.11, read as the reverse complement.
TTATTATTTAGGTGCTGTGTTGGAGGCAGGTTTAATATATATAATGCAAATATTTTTGAAACCACAAATTGATTATAATATTGTATGAAAATAAAGTTACTAGAAACAATTCCTTGCATTGAATGGGAGCTTAAACACCAAGGAGTTCTATCATTTTAAAATTCTTTTTTTTTTTTTTTGAGACGGAGTCTCGCTCTGTCGCCCAGGCTGGAGTGCAGTGGCGGGATCTCGGCTCACTGCAGGCTCCGCCTCCCGGGTTCACGCCATTCTCCTGCCTCAGCCTCCCAAGTAGCTGGGACTACAGGCGCCCGCCACTACGCCCAGCTAATTTTTTGTATTTTTTTTTTTAGTAGAGACGGGGTTTCACCGTTTTAGCCGGGATGGTCTCGATCTCCTGACCTCGTGATCCGCCCGCCTCGGCCTCCCAAAGTGCTGGGATTACAGGCGTGAGCCACCGCGCCCGGCCCATTTTAAAATTCTAAATATTTATTTATATTTGCATTTAAAAGATTTAAAAGAATAATGTTTTTTAAATGTCTTCTGGAATTTGCATATTTCTAAATATTTTACTTAGTTTTTCTCTACAATCAATGTGTTTCTCTTGTGTGATAACAAAGCAAAAAAAAAGATAAGTTATTTTAATGCCTGTGGCAAAACTTTGAGACTATGTATACCAATTTGCTATTGTATTTATTTACCTTCATGGAAATATTTCTTTAAGGTAGTTCTCCATGGTCTACCATTGTTCCTCATACAATATAAACTGGATTTTAAAAGGGAATGAATGAAAGCTGGATAATTCAATACATAAAGTTTATTTATTTATTTATTTATTTCATGTGAATAATGTGAGTAAACTTAGGAATTCTAGATTTTAGTAGAATTCTCTTGAAAGGTCATGGCAAGGTGACCAGCTCCTTAAAAAGGAAGCAATGGTTGGGCCAATAGCCAAGATTTGATTTGTCTCATAGTTACATCATTCAGCAGCAATCCAGTATTTGCAAAACACTTTGATAATTAACTTGGCACACAAAATTGAATAGAAAGAGCCAAACTAGTTTGATCATAACTGTTACTTAGAAGAAACCTTGAAAGATATTCAGATTCCTGGATCTTCCTCTTGACCAAGGGTCAGCAAATATTTTCTGTAAAGTGCCAGACAATCAATATTTTCAGCTTTATGGGCCATATAATTATTTCATTAACACTCCATTCTGCCATTGTAGCAGGAAAGCAGACACAGACAATATGGAAGATAGGTATTTTTGCATTTCAATAAAACCTTACTCACAAAATAAGTGGTAAATACCACAAAATAGGTAGTAAACTGAATTAGCTGGAGTGCTATAGTTTTCCAACCCTGTTCTAGGTCAGCTGAACAGTCTAGGGCCTCTTTCAGTTGAGAGCTTTAACATCAGGATAAACTATATACAAATATGGCAAATCAGTCAAATATATTTGTAAATGTTATACAGTATGAAGATATTATGTTTGTGAGATGTGCAGTTAAAAAGTCTTGACAGACGGCCAGGAGCAGTGGCTCAGGCCTGTAATCCCAGCACTTTGGGAAGTCAAGGCTTGCAGATCACTTGAAGTCAGGAGTTCGAAACCAGCATAGCCAACATGGTGAAATCCCTTCTCTACTAAAAATACAAAAACATTAGCCAGGTGTGGTGGTGGGTGCCTGTAATCCCAGCTGCTTGGGAGGCTGAGACAGGAGAATCACTTGAACCCGGGAGGTGGAGGTTGCAGTGAGCCAAGATCCTGCCACTGCACTCCAGCCTGGGTGACAGAGCAAGACTCCATCTTAAATAAAAAGAAAAAAGGTTAAGAGAGCTTTGTACCATCTTTGAATATGTAAATCTTTATTTATTGTAAAGAATATAAAGCATTTAAGCTCATCAAATGCTATAATGGAAAGGACTGTCACATACACTGTATCTTTTATTTCACGCTAAATGAGTCCCTATAACAATATTAGGCAGTACAATTAAGCTTAAAGGCCATTCTATATTTCTGGTTTTTCTTGAAAAACCTGAAATATTTGGCATCCCTTATGTTGTATTTTCAAAAGCCAAGTTTAGCTGTCACTAAATAGTAGATTCCTCTTTTTAGTCAAAGAATGTCTTCTGTGATTTACACCATCCCCATCTGGCATATTAAACTCACTTGGGTAATCTGAATTTCCTGATAGGTATTTAATTTTGAACACTTGTATATACTTCACTCATTAAAAAGAGACTAGAAGATCCAAATGGGATTTCTTTAGGAGAAATATAAATTGCCAGCTAATAGGCAGAAAGATTTAAAGATTACCAACCATACAATCCATTTCCAGAAAGTACCTATTTATCAATTCAGACTGATTATACAGCAGCATAATTGGAGTTTTTAATGTATGCAAGCTAAATATTACATTTTCCCATTACCCATATTCCAGAGTAATTTGATAAAGTCTAAAATAAAACAAAACTGAACCAAACACTTTCCCAGGGCAGGTTAAATAAACTCCGCATTAAAACTGTGTGACTTTAAAAATCCCTTATGTCCCTTTAGACGTGCTGTATTTCTCACTGAAACTAATGAATAAGATTAACTTTGAAGACATTTTCAGCATCTCTTATGATATCACAATTTTAGGGTAAAAATGAGTGTAAAGAAGCTGTTTGAGCTCCTAGGCCATGAAGCACAACCCTCAAAATATAAAGTAATGGAGTTGTAATCAAATGTCTATACATGAAAATAATCTTTTTTACATTTCACTTGATTTTCTCAGATTTTCCCTCAATACCAATGTGATATTTTAAGTTTTGCACTGCAATCTTGTTGAAAATTTCATTTCCTCATATCTACTTACTTAATTAACAATGCATCCTTTTACTTAAAAGAAAAATTTGAGAAAATGCTAATATATTTATTCTGTTAATATGTTTCCTAAACATCAGAAAAAAAATGTTTGTTAGGCACACACTTTTCTCTAAGATGCAGAGATTTAGCATCTACTTTTAGAGGTCAGTGCTGTGGCATTTTTCTTCTGACCACCTAATTTTTCAACACAAATTCATAGGCAGCTTATACCTGTCTGTATTTATTACAAAGTTCTGTTTCCTTCCACAGTGAGGATTCTCTTCAGTGCCTCTCCAGAGATCTAATCAAATATGTAGACCAAACTCATCTCCATGGCTTAGTTTTATGTACAAATATATTAGGATGCTGCTTATATGGTGTAATTTACTTTACGTCATCCATGATGTTCCTCAGTCCCAAATTAAAATTCCAGCATTAGACATCCATTCATTTAAAGTTAAGAATATTTCTTTGGCTTTTTGGGTTTCCTATTTATATGCAACTGTACTCGAAAGGATACTAAGTTTTCTACCCTGTAACAATTTAGTAAATAGTCTGAGAGAACTTCTTTGAAATTATGATGATTAGCCAAACTTGGCGTCTTTTTGTGCATCAAAGAGGCTAGTTTCAGTGGAAGGAGAAATTAAGTAGAACTGGAAAGTCTATGTTTCTTTCTGAGACACACATAGATAAAATTGAGCAAAGAAAAACTAAGGGAAACCTGGGGCTAAGATGAGCAAATTAGACAGCACAAAAATAGAATGTAAAATTAGACTCCAGTAATTGGGGCTGTGTCTAGTTACTCAGAAGGCTGATCAAAAGCTTTCTTGTTTCCACCCCCTCTTTTCTTATTTGTGGCTCTTATTTTTCTTTTTTTTTTTTCTACACATATGGTTTACAAACAAAGCACATAAATATTTTCTCTGACCTCTTACTTTTCTCTTAACTCTTCTAGCTCTTAGAACTTGCTTTAGATAATCATTCACCTGTTAACTTTTCTCTTGTATTACTTACTGTTTTTCCATAAGTATCAGTTTGGTTTGTCTGATGTTTTAACCTTCTTGGAGACAGAATGAAGTCTTAACTTTATTCTTTCTCTCCTTAAGATACAATATGTTGATTTGCTCAACAAAAGAATTTCATAAATAAAACTTCAGAAAAAAGCAACTACAGATGTGAAATCCAGTTAACCATGCCATTCTGACATTTATTTAAAGACACTGATGATTAAAATTAGGAAATAAATCAACCATTGAGAGTAACTAAAATTTGCCTAAAGTTTACCATGTCCAAAGTCCTGTTCTAAGTCAGTAACATATATTATCTTATTTCTTCTTTAAGGGATCCTATATGACAGGTAAAATAATCATTCGCATTTGCTAGATGAGGAATTGAGGCACATAGTGTTCAGAGGATTTGAGTAATTCACACAACTGGGTTTGAACACAGGTAATCATGTTCTAATGTCCTTTCTCTTCAGGATGACAAAATTATGCCTCTATGTAAAGAGAATATGTCAATACAGTCTAAAGAATACGCTCAACGGAATTTACAAATCCTTACAGAAAAATTGAATCAGAGCATACAAACAGTCCTAAACCTCCCATCTGGGGAGCCCTGGAGATAATACAAATGTAGGCCAATGTGTTACTAGCTAATATTTAGCAGTTATAAATCAAGAGAAGAAATTGCTAAAGAAAACTGGTTCTAGCCTAGTACTTTAACAGATATGCCCTTTAATGAAATGGAAAGTTAGATTCAAATTTAGAATTCTCAAATTTATGTTTATCAAATTTGCATTTATGAATTATGTGGCTTGGGGATGGCCACCCGGCCCCTCACCTGAGACTCATCCTTTTACTCACCCCTACATCGTGGCTCTGTTTATCAATACAGGAAGACTCTTCTAAACCTGGGTGATTATCTCAGCTTGTATATATTTGCTGTGACCATAACCCCCTTAAAGTGCTGCACCTTAATCAACACTTAGAGTTTCACAGGCTAAAAGGTATTATATGGAAGATGGACATAGGGAAGAAACACTTGTAGGTCCTAAAGTTGGCCTATGGTGATTGGGTAGAAGATGCCACGCCAGGAATGTGTCCTGGAAGGGAGATCAAGGGTTCCAGGGGTCCATTCTCTTGGTCCATGGCTACTCCCAATCCACGTGGGTGTGTTCGGTTTAACGCACATCAGAGCCAGTCCTGTCATTTGATTCTAATAGTAATGTTGTACAAACAGTTTAGAGAAAATATATTCATGAAATTGAGAGACAATGGCCAGTAGAACTCAAGAGTAACATTCAAAATAGTATTAAGTAAAATATGGTAACTATCAAAAGACTTTGGCAGAAATATAGTGAAAGAATCTACTATTGAAATAATTCCTTGGCAAGAATGGCAAAAGTTATAAAAGAAGTGATTATCTGAGATAAAAATGTAAAGAGAAAAAGGTGGATATCCAGGTGAGTATGAAAAATAGGAAATATGGAATCTCCCAGAAATGACCTGTTTTCACATTATTTCTGGGGCAAATAAAAAATATTTCAACAATATGAAACTTTAAAGTGAAAAAGGAGAGGCCCAATCAACCTGTATAACCCAAGTATTCCCATAAAGTCACATTGATATAGCAGCTTCATTGATAAAGAATGGAACTGATTTCTTCTGGGTGCCTATAACTGCTGGGGGCTGAAAACAAGGCCAACCTTAGGAAAGAATGAAAAACCAACCTTGATAAAGATGCTTTTATATGGGATCTGGTCATTGTAGTATTCAGTGAAATTCCAGGACATATGGAGGCTGGGCTATCTAGAAATATTTTAATTGAAATTTTATTTACTTATGTGGTAAATAAAATAAATACATAATTTTAGAAAGTATTAGGTTTTGTTTATTAAAATTAAAAATTTTAAATACATAAAATAAATACTTAAATAAAACTTTATTACAAGCCTGCCCTATTTTGTGCAGTACTGTTTTCATAATTTATTTAAACACACAGGAGAACTCTGTGAAGTATGTATTTATTTTGTTTCTTTTATAGACAAAATGATTAAACTGTAAAATCTCATGTTTTAAGTCACTTACTAGAAGTTTCAAGGACCTCAATGTCCTGTGAGCGTTCTATAAGGTACATTGCCTCCAAAGACAAGAACATAAGCACAGTGGAGAAGGTAACTGTGCTTTACAGATGAAAGTCCCTTGTAGGAGACTTTGTTGCTATCTGAGTCTTCAAAACATTCATAACCTTTGGATATATTTATATAAGGAGTGATATCTAGAAATGTGTAGCTCTCAAGAGAAGCTAACCAACTTTGAAAATGGATAACAGAAAGAAATTACAAGCCTAAAGAAACCTAAATTATCGAATGTGTTTTAATCTGTTGGATTAAGCACTTGCCCTATCTCAAGTCTTGTTATAGTAGATGATAAACCTCCATAGAAGTTGTCACTAATATTTGTGTCTGTTATTTGCTGCCAGAAACATGCTAATTCAAATAAAATGTAATATACAGTTCTATCCCATGTAAAAATTTATAACCGATTAAAGTCACACAATTGAATGTAAGAGCAATAAGAGCTTAGACTTGTAAATGACTACAAATACCAAGTGGTTTAATATTGTTCCAAATTCAGACATGATATTTACAATGGATGATAGAGTGCAGAGCCAATCATGAATTTGAAAATATGTAGGATATTGATTTAAGTTTTTTGAGTAATTTTAACTTATGATATACAAATGTTAGACATAGCCTCTCTCTATATAGTGAATAACACAGTGCAAATAAAGTTGCAATTAAGTGAAGTTTTAGAAAAGCCCTTCTGGCCGGGTGCGATGGCTCAGGCCTATAATCCCAGCACTTTAGGAGGCCGAGGTGGGCGGATCACCTGAGGTCAGGAGTTCAAGACCAGCCTGGCCAAAATGGTGAAACCCCATGTCTACTAAAAATACGGAAAATTAGCTGGGCTTAGTGGCAGGCACCTGTAATCCCAGCTACTCAGGAGGCTGAGGCAAGAGAATCGCTTGAACTTGGGAGGCAGAAGTTATAGTGAGCCGAGATCATGCCATTGCACTCCAGCCTGGGCAACAAGAGTGAAACTCCATCTCAAAACAAACAAAGAAAAACCCCTTCTGTATACTATTTACTAGTCTTTCGATATTATAAATTCCACAACAGGCTATGTTAGAATGAATAATATTTCTTTTTAATAGTGCCAATTACGCTTATCTAAACTGCAAGAGTTTTAACAGCATTGATAAAATGTGGGATCGACCACATCCATTATCCAATCAGACAGTAAGCTTGGCTATATAAATCAAGATAGAAGTTTGTTTTCATCACTCTGGAGGGATGAGACTAAAAGATTAAGACTGCTAAGAAGGCTAAACATAGCTGAATCCTATATTTCGATCAGTGGTGATGAAAATTGTAAATTTTCAATAGCCTGAAAAGATAAAATCACTAATTCTTATTTATTTTACTGTTAAATTATTATTTGAAGATAAATATGGTTTGAAGACCAGTATCCTATCAAATACAATTTTGTGGTTTTACAAAAGACTATAAACAAACAAATATTAACATGGTAGATTAAATTTAGTTTCATTTAAAATAGCTGAATTGTGGTATTTAGATTGATGTGTGTATAAGTTTTTGTACATGTATATATTAATATTCCAGTGTGTGCTGGTTCACTTTTATAGTTTTAGATATGTGTGTGTGCATGCGGGTATTTCATCCATTAATAACTTCTGAAAATCCCATATAATTAACCTACAGTTCACCCAGATATGTACTCGATAATTCTCTGCTGCACACAGTCACTCTGAAACCAATCTAAACTTTTTATTTTCAAAGTTTCACAGAGATTTTAAGTGTATTTGTTTTATAAGTAAATATGCAGTATTCTTGAAGTTTTACATGTTATCTCGATTGGCTTCTATGCAAAGCAGAATCCAAAGCCCTTTTCAAATGAACCAAAAAACATATCTTTCTATCGCATTATAACCATGTTTCTCCCAGTTACCTCCCGAAGATATATTTCATTATGAAAACTGCAAAGACAATTCCAGCCAGTTAATTCTTAGTGTTGACCATAGTGGACAGAATTATTGCCCTCTCCCCACTGGATGTGGAGGCCCAGCGTGACTTGGGTCTTACTGAAAATTCGTGATACGCCTGGGTAATTGAGCTGGGGATATTTCCAGGCCAACTTTCTTCTATGAAACAGGGTAGAATTACAGTCAGGGAAGATGTAAATGGAGATCATCATTCCTCAGAGACTTCTCTTGGCTGAAAGCATAAATGTCATTAGACATTCAACAGTTTCTCTTCTTCAAACTAATCTGTTTACCTCCATGTGGGTGGGCTAAAAACCAAATCTGAAACCTAAAATTGTTTTGTCATCAGTGTTGACTGTCAGAGACTGTGTCTACATGAAGCCAAAACATCCAGATGGAAACTGAAAAGTAACATCCATCATCTAAATATTTTCCTTTCCCAATGCCAAGCATATAGATACTTGGAAACAATGTCATGGTTGACCGAATGTTTCACTTTTAATCTAGATGTTTTGGCATTGTTTAGATACAATCTCAGTTGTAACTTCTCATACAAAATTCCCAGATCTGTAGTGTGATAGATACATTTTTAAAAATAATTCACTTAAAATCCTTATATATATGGATAAAATCCTGGCTATATGGGTTGGGATAGAAGTAATTATAAATCCATATGTATATGTGTATATATATGTGTGTGTATATATGTGGATTTTTAATTACTTCTATCTTGGATTTGTATGGATTTTTACTTCCATATATGAATAAATTCTTCACATGAATAAGTCATTATCTTAGGTACTATGGGGGAATAACATGATGAGTAACCAAGTTGAAAACAACAAGTAGTCACACGCAGGCACAAGTAACTAAAATGTCTGGCCTGCTGTGATTTGTGATTGTTTTTAATGTACATTTACATAGGACCACTGTAGAGAAAGAGGCTGGTATGGTTGAACAAAGAGCTCTGGTGAGGTCTCATGGGGAAACAGATTGGTTTTGGAAATTAAAAATGACCAGAACATTGTAATAAGCATATATGAAAGTGAAGGGCATTTAAGGCATGGGATGTATGAACACGGTTCAGCAAACCCTGGGCTGTTCATCAAATCTGGCCTGCTGCATGTTTTGGTAAATACAGGTATTGTATATAAGGGCCCAGCCACATCCATGTGTTTGCTTATTATTTACTTCCTGTCCATAGCTACCTTAGCACTGCCTCAGTGACCTATAATACCAAACATATTTAATGTATGGCCCTTTATAGAAAATAGATTGATACATTTTGGAACATTATATATTTAGGGAAGCAGGAAAGAGTTCCAGGTGATTGGAACAGAGGCTGCATGCTGCCATTGCTGGTGATTTAGAGTGGGAGTATTGAAAGGAGCTTTCTTCCAGATGACCCAAATTTTAGGATAAAACAAAATATTTCTTAGTATGAAGACAATAATAACAAGATTAAGCACATACTTGTGATACAAAATCAGTGGTTTTATATGAAAATGTTCTATGGCTGACAGAAAGTGGGGGTATTTTGCAAAGTGAGCATTTTATTAGCTTAAAGATAATTTTATTTAATTGAAAATGGATGCCACTGGTTTTGTAAAACAATGTAATTATGGTATGAATAAAGAATTTATTCATCTTAAAATACCAAATGCTAATGTTTTGGATGTTATTAGAATTTGTTAAAGAATGATGGTCCTAGGATTTGAATGCCTGACATTTGAAAGCATAAAAGAATGGGTTTGGCAAAACTGCCTAAATGTTTGTGACTGGTTTCCTATTTACACAGGGGAAAAATAACAACTCATTATGTTTTTGGCTGAATTACATGAGTTATTCCAAGTAAGCATTTAGATAATAAGTAGGTATTAGTGCGATTATGCTTCCTATTGAAGCATAAATGTGTTGTACTTCAAAATATATTCCAAGCAAATATTTTCCTATTTTTCATATCAATTGGATATGTTTTGAGGGCTAAAGAACTGCTTTTGCAGAGAGTATATGGAGGACATGGTACATTTTTATGGTTTGAATTTGTGTCTCCAGCCAAATTTCATGTCAAATTGTAACCTCCAATGTTGGAAGAGGGGCCTGGTGAGAGGTGAGAGGATCATAGGGGTGGACTTCCCCCTTGCTGTTCTCTGGATAATTAATGAGTTCTCATGAGATCTAGTAGTTTCACAGAGGGTGGCACCTTCCCCCCAGCTCTCTTTCCTCCTGCTCTGGCCATGTAAGGACTTGACTCCTTCATCTTTGCCTTTTGCCATAATTATAATTTTCCTGAGGCCTCTCCAGCTATGCTTCCTGTACAGCCTGTGGAACCACGAACCAATTAAACCACATTTGTTTTTTAAATAAATTACCCACTCTCCAGTAATTCTTTATAGCAATGTGAGAACAGACTAATACAGTATTCTTCTTCTGAGCTCTGGCCATATCTTATCTGTGGCTTTCTCAAAATGCACAACATAGGATAAATTTAAAGTGGTAGGGAAAAAGAATCAATAAAAGATAAATTCAGATTTAGATATGTGAGAAACACATTCACCCATCCAAACCCAAATGATCTCAGAGACACGAAGAACAGCGAAAGTGAAACTTTTAATGCGGTCTTGCAAGATCGGTGTCTGGTAAGCAGGCACACCCAGGGCAGCTACAGCAGGTAATTTATCTCCTAGCACACAAGTCCCTCCCCCAGTTCCTCATTGGTGGAGTACGATGGGGTTACTATCTTCCCGGACATCACCTAAGTTTCATTATCCCCCGATAAAGTTATAACCGGTCCCTTTCCCTGCTTAAGTTTTGATTTCCCAGTAGCAAAACTTTCTTCCCTTTTATGGGCTGACCCCTCCTCTACATCTTGTTCGCTTATTGTCACTTTCTAAGTGCATGGTCCATGTGGTTTGTCACATCTGCAGGCTGGCGGCCAGTACTTAGATTTATCAGGCCTTGAAAATGGACCATTTGTGGCTCACGCCTGTAATCCCAGCACTTTGGGAGGCCGAGGCAGGCGGATCACGAGGTCAAGAGATCAAGACTATCCTGGCCAACATGGTGAAACCCCGTCTCTACTAAAAATACAAAAATTAGCTGGGCATGGTTGTGCGCGCCTGTAATCCCAGCTACTGGGGAGGTTGAGGCAAGAGAATAACTTGAACCCGGGAGGTGGAGGTTGTAGTGAGCCAAGATGCGCCACTGCACACTGCACTCCAGCCTGGGCAACAGAGCAAGACCCTGTCTCAAAAAAAAAAAAGAAAGAAAAAAAGGAAAGAAAAGAAAAGAAAATGGACCATTTAAAATGTTTTCTCACAGATGCAATACAACTGAAGACCTGATGTTTTATTTCGCCAAATGCTTTTTTTCTACTTTAAAAGCACACACACACACACACACACACACACACACACACACACACAGAATTAGCCTGATAATGCCAAGTGTAGCCAATCATAAACTTCTTAATTTTAATTACTTGGGAAATATTTATATATTCTATGCCAGATAAATGCAATATAACATACAATACTAGTTAGTTATAACATATGGTATCTAGTGACTGATGAAAGTTTCATTTAGAATGAGTAGACATTTTCATAGAAAATTATACTGCAACCCTGATATTAACCTCAAAACAGGTGCATTTAAACTACTTAAATTTCATTGCTGTTTATTTTTTAGATGGAACAATTTCCATCAATAAAATTATTACTTCCCTGTAGTACTGAAATATAAGGACTATATTTCATATATAGTACGTAGAAATGAGTAAATGCATAATATTTTCATGAATAACAATTGCAAGTTTGTAAACTCATTCAATATTTACTCATTGTTTTGCTGTATTATTGTTTGGCTGCTGTAATAAAGGCTAAAGAACAAAAAGTTAAACAAGTTCATTTCTCTTCTATAATATTCTGAGTGTACCTGGGGCAATTCTATTATGGTAGAATCTAGAAGGATGTCAGAGCAGAGCTTTTTGATTTTGTTGTTGAGGTCCTAGGCTCCACAAACCACTCATTAATTTTTAATGTGTGTTATGTGGTGACTGATTGCAACATGAGATTTTTACAAGATAGATTTGTTTCCTGGAATGTTGCCATATGCAGTTAAATAATTTGAACTTTGTAGTGGAGGTTAGCTATCTCCCCTCATAGCTATTCCTCTTAGTTTTGTCCAAAGAGTAGGAAGGAAGAAACTGGCTCCAGAGAAAGAGGAGGAAAAAAGAGGACTTAAGATACTATTATATGAAGCTGGCCTTCATGGTGAGATGCCCTCCTTTTCGATGAACAGTACATTTTTAAGAGGTGATTTAGAAGATCAGCAATTGTGTTCCCTGTGTTTCTCCTGGAAGTATTTTTTTTTAATATCCACTTGAATGAATGCTACATGATTGTTGAGATTTTCATCTACCTTGTTCATAGTTCCATCTGTACTTAGAAAAGTGCCTGACGCATAGCAGCCAGTGAACATGAATAAATGTTCTGCCAATTTCAATACTGGCTTCGATCTTTTGACGTAAGATAGCTATTTAGCTCTTCTAGGGGATATGTCTTCTAACTAGGGCACAATAGAGAAAATGTCTATTTCATTAAAAGACTAATAGAATTCAGGAAAATCAACATGAGGAAACAATTAACTATCTGGTCCACAATAATTTTGCTTTGAAAAATTTGGCTGTAATACAAATATCAATACATTTTTATGAAGTGTTCAATATGAGATCTGTGCATGATTATTTTATCTATTACATGTTTGATGAAAAAATATCAGTTGTACTTAATGGTAAAATAGTCCAATACATAGATGTTATTTATTGAGAAATACTGTTCCATTTTCTTTTAGCACATAATTCAGAGATGTAATTTTTTTCTAGGTAATGCATTATATTATTGTGAACACTAAAGAATAATGTCTTCTTTTGATTATTGCATTGTGGTCCCATAAAATTTATATTCTTGGAAACGTGTATGTGTGCTTGAGATGATTTAATAGCTTTTAAACACTAAAAACAAACTGTTCTTTTTTTTATATAATCCAGTATGAAAGAATTTGATCAAATTTCTTATAATAAAAAGTATTAGAAAGGGGAGAATAGTAAATATGAAATGTGTCATTCAAGAATAAAGCAATCCATGACTAAAATATAAAAAATGTAAAGGAATTAGTCTGAAGGAAATTTAAAGCCTGGTTGTCAAAGTTTTTTGGCAATGTAGAAAAACATCCCTTGTAGAAGCATGTAATTATGCACACGTGTGAAAAAAATTTTCCTCTTTTAAAAGGATATATTACTTTCCTATTAGCAAAAGAGTTAGAAAATGTTTCCAAAATTTAGCAACTGAGTTCTAGTAAATCTAAATCATGTCAACCAAATAACTCATATGAAATACCTAATAACTAATTCTGCTGAAGTGAGATCAAATAGGAAACTTGAATGTAATGCAGCTAGTTCTATGAATAAGTTGTAATTTCTTACAATTTGAATTTTACCACTAATAAACTTTTTAAATACGCCTCATTAAAAATGTGATGAAATAAAGTGCTGATTTGTGGGTTTGGCAGTTTTACAGTACTTTGAACAAGAGATACTAGGGATAATATTCGATGGTATAAGTTAGAACAGAAAGAATTTAGAGGAGTAGATCTGAGCAGGCAGTGAAAACCACATACAAGAGGGAGACCACCTAATTAAAATGAGAGTCAGTGATGAGACTGTCAATCTTGTTAGGTCTTTTAGAAATTATTCTGTTCATTAGGACTTTTTATTCCAGACTTGTAATGGGTATATCTTTTAATAATAACTGAAAATATTTTTAAAATGAAGATCACTCTATTCCTAATTTAAATTAATATTGAAATCAGCCTCCTGCATAAGCATAATTGTTTAGTGAAAATATAGAAGTTTCTCATTGTTTAAAGCATTTCTTTATACCTGTGAGAAATGAAATGAATTGAAATGTCTTTCCAAAGACAAGAAGCAAAATGTGAATATACTGGTAGAGGACACACATTCCTAGAGTGACTGGGGTCGTTTATAGTAGAAGTGGCTACCACAAACCAATTTGGTGGAATCAGTAATGCTAACTGGGTCTGTCCTCAGCTAATTAAGACATAGGGTCACTTTCCCTTTATGTTTTTCCATTAGGCGTGATTTTTAGTTTTAATTTATTTTAATTCTTTATGAAAGATTTTTCTAGAGTAACAGTCTTGGTCTGTGGAGAAGGAAATTAGATGTGAGAGAGATTCTTCTGGACGTGAAATAGTTCTGGGCTCTATTTTGGTTACAGGCCAAACTATGAAAACATATATATTCTAGTCTGCTCTGGGCTTCATGATAGAAGCTACGTGGAGTGTTTCATCTTTGCCAAAGACTATGTAATTAAATCTGCACCTAATTCTGGAATGTCATATTAAGGAACTCACTTATCTATAGTTATGTTATATCCTCCAACTTGCAAATAACTCCTGCCTCAGCCTCCCGAGTAGTGGGGACTACAGGCACCCGCCAACACGCCCGGCTAATTTTTGTGTTTTTAGTGGAGATGTGGTTTCACCATGTTAGCCAGGCTGGTCTCGAACTCCTGACCTTAGGTGACCTAAGCTGACATTCTTATCTTTTTATTTTTCCTTTGTTTATCAGTTGTTTCTAAATCCAGATAGAGGAGTAAATAGGGAATGGAAGAAAGAAATTTTGATACTCACCCTCACACCCCAACATAATCTAATTGCTTATAAAGTGAGTTTAAACCATACAACCACTGCCTAAAAGCAAAATATTGCACAACATTGCATAATAATGTTTTGTGTGTATCACAGAATAATAAACCTAGTAACTATTTATTTGGTAATTATGCCAGATTATGTCTCAATGTATTTTAACAGATATCCTAGATTTACTTCAAAAAATTCTTCTCTGTTATCCTTCTACCATACCACAATTTTTCTATAACAAGACGTTTGCAAATACATGATTAGCGTTTTGTCAGAAATGATCTTACTTAGATCTCTGAATATTTCTTACTTAATTCAGGTTTCTGCACAAATATCACTTCCTCTGAGAAACCTTCCTGAGAGTGGTAAAGTGGCCTCCTGCTCACCTCATCATCACATCTAGAGTTCTACTCTTTCTGAGCCATTTCTTAATTGCACATGCAACTATCTGTTGTGATGATATGTTTTACATGCATTGTTTTAACTTCACTTGCTAAAGCAACTTTGTCTTGTACTGATGTATATTTAGGGCTAAGAAGAGAACCTGGCACATTTTGGTTACTTAATGAGAATGTGTTGAATAAAAAAAGAAGTAAACACTGTGGAACATGTATGGACATAATGGAAATAACTTATACTCCATTAATAGGAGAGATGTGCGTCATGCACACTTTCTTTTGAATTGAGTCACTTTTTTCCCCCCTAAAATACATTTACTTGTTTTCTTAAAATACAAGTGACTTCAGAGGCTAAAGTAGAGTTTTTTGCTTACCAAACATCTTTGTTTAATCTTGGGGAAGCATGTAATTCCATTTTGATTATAATGAAATAACTTGTCCTTTAGAAGAGTTATATTAACTGCAATTGTTCCTGCTAATGGAAGCCTCAGCACTAGTGTAGATCATTTTAGTCTGCAGATTTACAGAGAAAAGCTAGAAATTTCCACTGTAAGTAACTTAGAATAGAAATTGAAATGTAAGAGATCTTGGAGAAGAGATGAGGATGAGTGCAAAGCTGGTTACTGCTATTGTAACAGTACATAGCTTTTAGCTTTTATGTATTACTGAATAGTTTCAAAATGTGTTCTTTCATTCTCTTATTTGACAAGTTAGGGGAATGAGAGTTTTTGTTTTGTTTTGCTTTTGTTGTTGGGTTTTTTCTTTCTTTTTACTTTTAGCATTTAGAGTATACTCTCTGGCCTATAGAAATTTGTAAATGGGAAGTTTGAGTACCAAGTAGTAAGCATTCACATGGAGATCACACTGAGCCAAGTACTGTGGGAGCAGTGAGAAGGGAGGATCTTACTCTGACTTGGGAAGTTAGGGCAGGCTTTATGGTGTGGGGGACATTTGACCTGTGTCCTGAATGATCCAGGAAGTAATATGTGTGTGTGTGTGTGTGTGTGTATTTTTTTTTTTTTTTTCTGAGATGGAGTCTTGCTCTGTCGCCCAGGCTGGAGTGGATTGATACAATCTCAGCTCACTGCAACCTCCACCTCCGGAGTTCAAGAGTCCCAAGTAGCTGGGACTACAGGTGCCTGCCAACATGCCTAGCTAATTTTTGTGTTTTTACCAGAGATGAGGTTTCACCATGTTAGCCAGGCTGGTCTCGAACTCTTGACCTCAGGTGAGCACCCCCAACCTAGGCCTCCCAAAGTTCTGGGATTACAGGCAGGAGCCACCACGCCCAGCCCTGAATTATATTAATATTTATAAATTTTCATCAGTATCAATGCGATTTTTAAGAAAGTACTTATTCATTACATTATGAGACATCAATGTTTCTATAAAGTGCCCTAAGAAGATGGTTACATCCTTTCTCTTAGGCTCATCACTGTCTCCCTGCTGCTTCCCTCCCCAAATATGTTTCATATAAGATGACTCCATTTCTCAGTGGCTTTCTTTACTTGATTCTATCCTATGATTTCATGAAGCCTCAATCCATCTCTTCATGTCAGGTTATTCTCAATTCACTTTTTTTCAACAGTATTACTAAGTGCTTTAGGCCTATGGGATGCAGTGATGATGATGACTGAGTCCTTGCTCTAAAAGAGTTGACTGTTTTTGTAACTTGGACTGTATTCAGTTGGCAGCTCCTTTCTGCTCCAAGGAATGTCTGCTGGGCTCACTCACTCACTCCGGTATCTGCAATCAGCTAGCAGCTTAAGTGAGGTTGAAGTATCCAAGATGCCTACAGTTATATTATCAGATTTATATTATCCTTGCTCAGCTGGAATTGCTGGAAGAAGTGGAGTTGGACTAGGCTTCTCTCTCTCTCTCTTTCACCTCTTTGTCCAGTATTCTTCTTATGGGCCCTTTATATCTACCTGACCTTTTATCGTCAAGGAAGCTTTGTTACATGGCTTGTCATAGCATCAAGAAGAAATAGACATTCTTTGGATGTAAACAAATTCATCAACACAATACCAAGAACTTTATACACACATTAGGATAACATAGAGGTTGAACTTCAGCATATCTTTTCTATATAAAAAAAGTATGCTAATAACTTAGGATGTGGTTAATCTGATACTGTTTTAATAGCAGAACTTCATCTATAGGTAATTTGTTGTAAAATAAAAACATTAACAAAATTAAAATAATCTAATTTTAAAAAGAATTAGGTTACTAAAATCTGCTTTACATTAGTTCAATTTTGCATATACACAAGCACAGTATTTAGGTTGCCAATGTCATTGGGAAGAGATGTACAAAATATTTTTCAAAATTGAGCAGTGGTGAAAATAATTTTAAATAGAATGAATTATGAGCCAGAAATAAAGAGCATTTACTCTATCATCTAAATGCGAATAAAAGCAACAAACAGGATTTTGAGATCATTCTAAGCGTTTTTTATAACTGAATGAGACTACAGAGTGACAGCAGGGCAAAACACAAAGTTTAGTTGGTAAAGCCATGTTGTAATATAAATATCTCATTTCCAAACTTGTTAAGACAGAGGATTTTCCTTATGACTACTTAATATTTAATATTAATGTGGAAAGAAATAGGGAGTAAAATATCTCAAGGAAGCCCTATGCCAAAGTGTTGACTAATTCTAGAACCAGGGACCCTATTCAAATACACACATCCTTGTTAAAGAACCTTGCTTTAAATTTTATCAGCTAAAATCTTTAGTGTTATTTTTAACTAAATGGTTTCTACCATATAAAAATAGAGGAACATTTAAGAATTGGAATTAGAGCATTCCTAAGTGTCAATGCCCTCCCATCATCAGAGACCAGTGGGAACAGATCTGTAGTTGTACAACTCATGTTGATCACCAAGTTGCAGAAAGGGAGGACACACGTGTAACTGGGGATGTTTTAGTCAGAGGGTGTTGGGAAGAACTTACAGGATTTGTGCTTGTGTTAGGTAATTGTGCACAAGGTGTAAGAAAATGTTATTTTGTTGTAGGTTAAATCCAATCAGGAAGTGGGAATAATTCTATGATTTTACATATTACCATTATCTAGAAGGTGGGAAGAACAGAAGGAAATTAAGGCTGTAATTAATAAAGAATCACTAGTCACTTGTATTAGCTAGAAGTAAAAGGACTACCTGGTCATTTTTGTAGTTGCTCAATTACCTTGTTTCTGTCTATGCTCAGACAAAAAAAAAAGACCAGAGTGGTGTATTTTTCGTGGTTTTCTCCCCCTACTTCATTATGGTCACAGTCTTAAATCTTGTGTGATGTCGCTCTGCTATGTGACTGCTCTTCAGAAGAATGTCATGGCTTATGTATGCACACCAGGCCAATTCTTCATAATCCCAAGGCCTAACTTTTAGGACAAGTGTATTTCCTTGATGTCAGGGCTATTTGGTTTTTCTTTTCTTTTTCTGATAGTTATATCAAACTAAATCTTAGAGCAAATTATTCCACACAAACAGGCATTTATTAATCAGATTTTCTTTAGAAAGAAGGATAAAGGCAATCATAAAATCTATCCTATTGTCTCCATGAAGTCTCAACTCTTTGTACTTTAGATGGTCTCATCATATTTTATGAAAAGTCAACATTTGGCAGAGTTATCAGTGATCCAGAGATAAGAGCCTATCACTGATATATTTAAAATCAGCAACAAGAAATGCTTCTGAGCAAGCAGCTCATCAAAGACTTGTTTGCCAATCATGCCATCTCTGAAGGAATAGGGCTCAGGTCCCTCTGGGCTTTAATGATATCCGCATACATGATGGCAAGTATCTATAAACCATGTTGTCCAGTCTATTTTCTTTATTTTTAGCATTGTCAATAAGAGACTATTCATTTTTCCAAAACAAGCTGTGAATTTTGCCAATACAACTATTTGTATTGGATTTTATATGCTAATAAATAAAACTTTATGTGTCAATTAAGAGATAGATAAATGAAGGGCTTGAGTGCTGCCTCTAGTGTGCTTGGGCTCAATGATACAATGTTAACTAACTACCTGGGAGTGTAGATTCTCACTCAGGGCAATTGATTGTTACCAGTGTCAGATGAGATACTATATAACTCAAACAGAATGAGCTTCATCTCACAATCTTAAAGTATTTCAAAGTAAATTATAAATATTTTAACAACACCAATATTTCTGTGTTAGTGTGTTAATTTGGGCTATCCATCAATTTGCTTTGTGGGAAAATTTTCCTCGGCCTACCATTGGTCACATAAGGCTCACTCATTGGCTAGGACCTGCCTGGAAAGAGCAGGAGGTCGTTCCAGCTGATTGGCTAGTTATATTTGAAGGATCATCTGAGCAGTGCCTCTCCGTGGCTGTATCACCCAAACAGACTGAAAGTTTTGAGTGAAGTTTTTCCTTTTCACTTTTATATTACTCCCTGAAGAACATAAAATTGAAGGTAAAGGGTATAATAAATTAATTTTACTCAATCATTAGCATAGTTTTAGTATTGCAGCAGCATTTTTATTGCCAGGAACATTTTAGCAAGCAGAATATGGTTTTATTAACTTTACTGTCACTTAAAAATTCTATGATTAAAATGTAAATGGTATATTCTTTATAAAATGCGTATACAATATGAATATTCACAACTCTAAATATCTGCTGCAATCTCTGCTAATTGCATGTTGCATATTCATACTCATAACAACTGTAATTTTTCACAATAAGCAGTAGCAACAATTTCCCTGAGAAGTTTATAATTAAAAAAAAGTCCAAATAGATACTTTGCAAATGGATACAGTCTCATAACCAAATTTTTCTAAGATGCATTTCCCAAAATGATTGATAGGTCAGTCATCCAAGAAGGATGATCATCATGGTCTTATAACTTTCAGCTGTGCTGTAAAACATGCACCGTGAAGGCATTTGAAATGGTGGTCATCTGGAAGAAATTAAGAGAAGGGCAAACACAGAACTTCTAATGTAATTATTTTGAAAGGGCGAAATACTACCAGCATCATACATTTTTGAGGTCTAGACATTTTCTTAAAATTTGTTTCGTAAATAGGTGTGGTGATGGAAGTAACTTTTTGCTAATAACAAAATACAGATATTTGTAATTATTTGCTTCAAAAACAATAGACCAATACCCCTGTAGTAGCATTCCTCTCACTCAGTAAATTCAGTTGTGTTTTAAGGAGCTAAGGACACAAAATGAGAAAGTTAAGCAAGTCCTTTACATGTTTTCTGCTTAATCTTGTAATGCTTCCTGCAGGGTGCAGGTAAGATTCCTATCTTGTTCACTCTTTCTAGAGTCACTACCTGGATTACTTAAATACTATATATCCTAGGTTGTACAGTCTAAGCTGACTAGTAAGCAATGGCATCTAAGAAGAGAAAAATCATGATTGTGTTCAAAGACCCAGAATTTACTAATCTACATAAGTGCCAGTGAAAGGGGTGGCATATTGATCACTTTCTTCTTACCTATAGAAAACATGAAGAATGTACCATGTATTATTTTTATAATCTTTGGAAAGAAATATAAAAACGACAGTAGTCACTCTTCATGACACTAAAGCAATATTACATAGTAGTTATTAATTTAACCTTTTCCTTTTTGATTTGAATGACTTTTCAATGCTGCTCTTCCTGTGTACAGGGACGTAATCTTGAGAAAAGCAAATTTGGAATGTAAAAGGTCACTGTCATATTGTGCTTATTTTTGCTAAAGGTATTGGCCATTTGAAGGTGTAATCTTTCAACTTGAAATTGTAATTGTAAAAAGAATTTAAAATGCTATTAATATATTTCTGTATCAAAGAACAAGAAGAGAACATATTACAAAATTATTTCATTTCCATTACTATGTGGAATTAGAATTGTATAAGTCCCCAAGAATGATATAAGAAAAATACAAATACCATTAAAACAAACTGCTAATGATTACCTATATATTAAACTGAAACTCTTATGTTAAGACCAAAAAATGTACATATGTTATCCTAATGTGTGTATAAAGTTCTTGGTATTGTGTTGATGAATTTGTTTACTTCCACACACATATATAAAGACTTTTTCTTTCACATGTGTATTTATATATGTAATATATACATATATATAAATAAAGTTTATTTCTTTTGGTCTTTTTGTAGAAATTAGTTCACTTTAACCTCTGTATTAATAATATATTAAATGCTAATATTTATTTTTTCTTGGTAAATTAAGTAGTGCGAAACAAATTTTTTCTTTCTGATTCATATTTAGTAAAAATTCACTTTAACCTAAGAACTGAGATATATAAAAGTCACCAAGACAAATTTTATATTTTCAATTATTTAAATCTATTTTACTTTTATTTTTTAAACCTATACAGTGTGTCAGAAATCAAATAATATCGGGATTTGATATTCTCATCATTTCAATTTCTATACAACAGATCATTTGATCTTCCCAATCATCACCTCATTCCTGGGCTTTTATTTTATTTCACACAAGAGTTTTGCCTGGTACAGGCAATCCTCATTGTTCACAGATTTCATATTCCAAATTCTCCTACTCACTAAAATATATTTGCATCCCCAAAATCCATACTTATAGCACTTTTGTAGTCATCTGTGGACATGCACAGATAGGGAAAATATTTGAGTTTCCCAGTGTGCATGCCCCAGCTGAGGCTGAACAAGACAATGCTCTCTCTCATCTCAGCTCTCAGAGTCTAAACAAGTGTCTTTTATGTGATATATTTGCTGCCACAATTTTTTCCATGTTTGTGTGTGTTTTGCTGTTTAAAATGTCTCTCAAATACAATGCTGAAATACTGTTTTGTGTTCCTAAGCACAAGAAGGCTACGCCATGCCTTATGGAGAAATTCTATGTGTTACGCAAATCTTGATGGGGCAGAATTTATGGTGCTGTTGGCCATAAGTTCAATGTTAATAAATCAACAACATGTATCAAATAAAGTATAGGGAGAGGAGGCAGGGAAATTCTGGGCAGAAGAGGGTGTGTCCCTGGCAAAGGCCCCACCCTCAAGCTTGGAACCACAGCCCAAAGTGAGAACACGCATTCCTGTTTTCCCACTTGAATGCTGCCTTTTGCAAAAGCACCCATTGCCCACCCCGTCTCTCATCCTGTACCCAAGAAAACCCCTGACCTGGTTGGCAGAGAAAAGTGGCTGAACGTTGAGAAGAGAAGCAGTAGCTGGGTGGTGGAGACTACAGCTGGATGTCAGAGAGAAGCAGCTTGACTTTAGAGGAACAGCTTGACAGTGTGGCTTTGAGGACAAGTCTGGCTGGGGAAGCCTGGACTCCAGGGGAAGATAATCTACCCATTCTGTCCCCTTTCCAGCTCCCCTTCCTGCTGAGAGCCACTTTCATCAGCAATAAAATCCATTGCATTCACCACCTGTATTAGTTCATTCTCACACTGCTAATAAAGACATACCCGAGACTGGGTAACTTATAAAGGAAAAGGAGCGAAGTCACATCTCACGTGGTGGCAGGCAAGAGAGCTTGTGCAGGGAAATTCCCATTTATAAAACCATCAGATCTCGTAAGACTTATTCACTATCATGAGAACAGTGTAGGGGAAACTGCCCCTATGATTCAATTATCTCCACCTGGCCCCTCCTACAATATGTGTTCGGATTAGGAGAACCACAATTCAAGATGAGAATTGCATGGGGACACGGCCAAACCATATTATCACCCTTCAATTCATTTGTGTGTCCTGATTTTTCAGGGACGCTGAACAAGAGCTTGGGTACCATGGGTGAGGATGCAAAAGGCTGTCACACTGACCCTCTGCCGCTGCTGGTGGAAGGCAGCTGCCTCACGCAAAAAGACAGAGGGCCCACTGAGCTATGAATACGTAAGCTGTCTACTGATGACAATGCTAAAAGACGGCTGACTGTAACACTCTGCGGCTTTGGGCCGTCATGGGTACTCTCCCTTAGATGCTGCTGATGCGG
Source organism: Homo sapiens (assembly GCF_000001405.40). Lineage (NCBI taxonomy): Eukaryota > Metazoa > Chordata > Mammalia > Primates > Hominidae > Homo > Homo sapiens. The sequence continues at coordinate 85,405,574 of NC_000013.11, read as the reverse complement.
GGCCCACACAGAATTTTGCTCCTACTGGTGCCCAAAAGCACTGTCCCCAGCTCTTGCACCCACTACCTGCATGATCCCTCCCATGAGGGGTGGAGCACAAGGGGTTTGAGTGAGTGGAGTTCGAGTCTGCCTGTGCTGAAGCAGCCAGTTGGCTCCAGTGCCAGTTGCTTTGGCACCGCCGGCAGGGGCAGTTTCTGCCCATGAAGAGGTCAGGAAAAATTCCCTGCTTCAGTATTTTTGAACGGAAACATATATGAGCCATGGTTATATATTGAACAGGTGATAAAAGTCTATCACTAGACAGTGGTGGGAACCTAGCCCTGTATTTCCCTAGGAACAATAGTTCACTATTGACTAGCTGAGCATTTCAGGTAACTTAAAATAATATAACTACTAGGAATACAAGTGACTGTATTAATTGACTCTCAACAAATGTTCACTTATTTGTTTCTTCAGGTGGCATTCAGGGACTATTTCTACTATCTTCCATTTTATAAAGAAAAATATCAGGTTCCTGGACAAAACATCATGGTCTCTGGCACAATAAAAAAAAAATGTTTCAAAGAAATTTATTTTTTGTTATGGAATTACTTGACATTTTATGTAACTGCATTTTACTATTTGCCTTGTAATTTTTGATAAACAAGAGTGAACTTTTAAGTACACATTTCTATGATTAAGAACTCTTATATAGTGGAATAGAAGAGACGACATCCAGAACATCGTAGGAGAAAGAAGCATAGGAATGTGGAGTGTTTAGCATGTCCTCTACAGGGGTGATAAATAGCCTGAGTACTCCATATAGAAGGAATAGCATTTGCTTAACCTCCACTGAAGGTGAACACACTGTTAAATGAAGAGTATGAAAACTGAATGGAAAGAAACAAGATTATGCCAAAACATTCTAAACATGTGTTCATATTAAACATTTCAGCTTGAAGATGATATTGTAAGTCTTTTTCTTTAAGTCTGCATCCACAGTCTTTCTATAAATGGCAATGAATAAATATTAAAATGATGCAAACCAATATTCAAGTTCAAAATTATAGTAAGATCCCTTGGAATAAAAATTCAAAGGACAAGGATTCTGTATTAGTTCATTTTCACACTGCTATAAAGAACTACCAGAGACAGGGTGGGGAGGCCTCAGGAAACTTACAATCACCGTGGAAGGTGAAGGGGAAGCAAGACACCTTCTACACAGGGCGGCAGGAAGGAGAACAAAGTCAGGAGGAAATACCAAACACTTATAAAACCATCAGATCTCATAAGAACTCACTCACTATCATGAGAACAGCGTGGGGAAACTGCCCCTATGACTCAATTACCTCTACCTGGTCTCTCCCTTTACATGTGGGGATTCTGGGGATTGTGGAGATTATAATTCAAAATTAGATTTGGATGCGGAGAATCCAACCATGTTATATTCTAAAGCTACAGTTAGTATTTTGTATCATATGATGTGGCAAGGATTAAAATTGGCCACACGACTTTCCATTGTTCTGGACAATGTTAAGAGTTCTGGAGATAGACAGTGAGGATGGTTACACATCAATGTGAATTCAATTCCATAAACTGTACACTTAAAATAATTAAAATGGTAAATTTTATTATGTATATATTTTACCACAATTAAAAAATAGTAGTTCCAACAGGAATAAAGTTATATGTAATTTCACAAATTAAGTACCACAAAAATGTTTCAAAAGACCAATGCATGGGCTATAATTTACAGCTTTGTGGTCCTAATGAGTAGAGATCAAGACATAGCTTATTGTTCTGAAAGTTAGACAAGCAGCTTAGTGGCTTGGTGACTAGAGAAGTATTTTTACAATATTTTCGGGTAGTAGGAGCCCTAACTTTCTTTCAAAAATTGTTGTCTCCTTTAGAAGCCTAGAAAGCTAAATGAAGGTAATCAAGAATACACACAGAGAGGATGAGAGAGACAGAGAGAGAGAGAAGAAAGGACCTCCTACCATAGTTGAGATGGAAACACAATAGGAAGACATTAACATCAAGAAAGATAATCATAAAGTAAACAACTGCTATGTGCAATTAGCCAGATATATTTAAAATAAAGAAAATCTGGGCCGGGCATAGTGGCTCACGCTTGTAATCCCAGCACTTTGGGAGGCCGAGGCGGGCATATCACGAGGTCAGGAGATCGAGACCATCCTGGCTAACATGGTGAAACCCCATCTCTACTAAAAATATAAAAAATTAGCCAGGCATGGTGGTGGGCACCTGTAGTCCCAGCTACTTGGGAGGCTGAGGCAGGAGAATGGCATGAACCTGGGAGGCAGAGCTTGCAGTGAGCTGAGATGGCGCCACTGCACTCCAGCCTGGGCGACAGCGAGACTCCGTCTCAAAAACAAAAACAAAAAAACTGAATGGTATATTAAGTTTGTTTACTACTAAAAATAATATTTGAACATATATAAAATAGGACTATGAAATACAGAATTTAGAATCAATGACTATAATAAAAATCAGAAATAATGGGAATGAAAGATACAGCAACAGATACTAAGCAAAAACAATAGAATGAATCTAAAATAAGAATTACTGAACCTAACCAACAGAACTGAGAATTCACTCAGATGACATAAACACATACAATAATATTTAAAAGATATGATGATAGTTTCGAGAGCTAAGATGTACTAAGAGTTTCAGGAGAATGCGATAGATGGAGTAGTGACAAATTATATTTGAAGGGACAACTACTAAGAATTTTCCCAAACTGAGGAAACACATGAGAATTTAGGTTGAAAAATACACATTAGTATATGGGACCATAAACAAGATTTAATCAAAATCTAGATATATTTTGTGAAAATATTTACATGTCAAGGACAAAGGTATAATGTTCTTCAACCTTACCAGGGAGATTAAAAGAGACTTCCTGTAATAGAGTAGGCAATTTCTCTAGATCATGACAGACTGCCTATTATAGAAAATATAAGATAATAGACAAGGATTGCCAGGTAAAATATAAAATACCTGGCTAAATTTAAATTCCAGATAAAAATGAATTTAAGTATATCTCAAATATTTCATAGAACATACTTATTCTACAAAGGTTGATGAAAGTGTAGTTTATTTATAAAAGGAAATATTATTCAGTCTTAAAAAGAAGGAAATTATGAAATTTGTGAAAACATGAATGAACCCTGAGGATATCATGCTAAGTGAAATAAGCCAGTCATAGAAATACAAAAAGCAGTATGATTCCACATATAATGAGGTATCTAAAATAGGCAAACTCATAGAAGCAGAGGATAGAATAGTAGGCATCTGGGCCTTTGTAGGGAGGATAAATGGGGCATTACTGTTTCATGGGTATAAATTTTTAGTTATATAAATGAATAAATTCTAGAAATCTGTTATACAACACAGTGCCTATAGTTAACAATAATGTATGATGCAGTTAAAAACTTGTTGAAATCATGTTAACAAAGAAAACCTGAAAACAAAACAGAGGACAAGGACACTCTTAGAGGTAATGAATATGCCTATTACCTTGATGGTGGTGATGGTTTCATAAGCATATACCTACGTTTAAAGGTAATATGCATCTGTACCCCAACACTTCTCTTTGACACGTTTCAGAAACCTGCAAAATTATTTTAATTAGCCAGTCCATAGGGAGTCCAGAAAATATAGCTAACACCACACTACTTGGCATGAGTAAGCTGCTCACAACAGCTCCAGCTTACTGTTATCTTGTCCCTGGGTAAAGCCCCTGTGTGGCTCCTGTTTTATAGCCTTCTCCCTTTTGGATCTGCAGATAACAAAACGTTCCTGCTTTTCATCTATCAAAGTGTCAGCATGTTTTGCCCCGTCATTAAAAGAACATTTAGACAGTAGGGCCAAGATGGCTGATCAGAAGCAGCTACAGTGCATGGCACTCATGGAGAGGAACAAAAGGGGTGAGTAAATACAGCACCTTTAACTAAAATATTCAGGTACTCGCATTGGGACTGATCATGGAAACAGCTTGATCCATACAAAACAGGGAAAAGCAGGCCAGGGCAATAATCCACTAGGGAGCCAAGCAGAGCCAAGAGAACACCCACATTCAGCAAAGAGTAGCATTGAGTGAATGAGCAACACCAGGAAACCATGCTTTTCCCACAGGTATTTGCAACCCTCAGATTAAGAGATCCCCTCGTGGATTCACTCTATCAGGGACTTAGGTCTGACACAAAGCTATGTGGACTCTTGGTAGAGCAGCTTCTGGGACATACACAGAGACCTGGGAGCTTTACATACTCCAGCCCTTGGGATTCCCAGCAAAGGTGACTGCAATTCAGACAAGGTGGGAGGTCTGTACATAACCCCTAGAAGGGGGCTGAATCCAGGAGGCTGAGCAGCACTGGTCTGCAGGCCCCACTTTCACGGCACCTCACAAGATAAGACCAACTGACTTGGAATTCCAGTCAGTCACTAGGAACAGGGTAGCACCTATCTGACATGGGAGGAGCTCCCATGGGGAGGGGCAGGCCGCCATCTTTGGTGTTCACACAACTCAGTAGTTCCAGCCTGCAAGCTTTGGAGAGTCCAAATGGACCAGACGAGAAAGGGATCCCCCAGCACAGCACAGCTGCTTTACCAAAACATGGCCAGATTTCTTCTTTAAGCAGGAGACTGATGCATTCCTCTTCACTGAATGGAACCTCCCAACTGAGGCCTCCAGTCAACCCCACCCACATTCTACAGACAGAGTTCTGATTTCTCCATGGGATGGAGTGCCTGGAGGGAGGGGAAGGCCACTCACCTTTGCTGTTTGGGCAACTCAGCTGTTCTTAGCCTAAGGGCTTTGGAGAGTCCAAGCTAACCAGGGCAGAGGCAATGCCCCAGCATGGCAGAGCTGCTTTGCAGAGGCATGGCCAGACTGCTTTTTTAAATGGGACCCCAATCCATTCTTCCTTAGTGGGTGGGACCTCTCAGCTGGGGCTTCAGCTACCCCCTCCTGTGTTCTATGACCAACAGAGTTCTAATTTCTCCCTGGAAGGAATGCCCAAGAGGTGAGATGGGCTGCCACCTTTGCTGTTTGGGTGACTCAGCCATTCCAGCCTATGGTCTTTGTAGAGCCCAAATTGATTGGGACCTGAAGAGATCCCCCAACACAGCACAGATTCTCTACCAAAACACAGGCAGACTGCTTCTTTAAGTAGGTCCCTGATCACGTTACTCCTGACTGGGTGAGACCTCCCAGTCAGGGTGTCCAGACACACCCTATAGTTGTGTGTGAGCCAGCAACAGGTCCATATCCCCCGGGATGGAACTCCCAGAGGAAGGGGCAGGGTGCCATCTTTGCAGTTTTATAGGCTTCACTGGTAATATGTCCAGGTACTGGAAAATCTGAGATGATTAGAGTCTGGAGCAGATCCTCAGAAAACTGCAGGAGCCCTACAGAAAAGTGGCCAGACTGTTAAAAGAAAACGAAAACAAAACCCGAAAAAAACCAAAAAAACCCCATAGAAGGTCAGCAATACAATCTCAAAGATCAAAGGTAGATAAACCCACAAAAATGAGAAAGAATCAGCTCAAAAACACTAAAAATTCAAAAAGCCAGAATGTCCTCTCTCCTCCAAATGACCAAAACACCTCTCCAGAAACAGATCAGAACTGGGCTGAGGCAGGCAGAGAGAAAGGCCAGGTCACCTACAAAGGGACACCCATCAGACTAACAGTAGACCTTATAGCAGAAACCCTACAAGCCAGAAGAGATTGGGGGCCAATATTCAACATCCTTAAAGAAAACAAACTCCAACCCAGAATTTCATATCCAGCCAAACTAAGCTTCATAAGTGAAGAAAAAAAATAAGATCTTTTTCAGACAAACAAATGCTGAGGAAATTCATTACCACCAGACCTGCCTTACAAGAACTCCTTAAAGAAGCACTACATATGGAAAGGAAAAACCATTACCAAACACTACAAAAACACACTGAAGTACACAGACCAGCAACACTGTGAAGCCACCACATAAATAAGCTTATAAGATAACCAGGTAGTATCATGATAACAGGAACAAACCCACACATAATGCTAACTTTAAATATCAATGGGCAAAAGCCTCCATTAAAAAAAAAAGAGTGGCAAGCTGGGTAAAGAATGAAGACCTATCACTATACTGTCTTCAAGAGACCCATCTCACATGCAAAGACACACATAGGCTCAAAATAAAGAGATAGAGGAAAATTTACCAAGCAAATGGAAAATGGAAAAAAGCTGGGATTGCAGTCCTAGTGTCTCACAGAACAGAATTTAAAACAGCAAAGATCAAAAAACAAAAAGGGTATTACATAATGGTAAAGGGTTTAATTCAACAAGAAGACCTAACTATCCTAAATATACACACACCCAACAGAGAAGCACCCAGATTCATAAAGCAAATTCTTAGAGACATTCAAAGAGACTTAGACTCCCACACAATAATAGTGGAAGAATTTACCACCCCAATGACAATATTAGACAGATCATTGAGACAAAAATAACAACGATATTCAGGGCCTGAACATAGCTCTGGATCAAGTGGACCTAATCGATACATGCAGAACTCTCCACCCCAAAACAACAGAATATACATTCTTCTCATGACCACATGGCACTTATTCTAAAATTAATCACATAATTGGAAGTAAAACATTCCTCAGTAAATGCAACTGAAATCATAACACACTTATCTCTTGGACAACAGCACAATCAAATTAGAACACAAGACTAAGAAATTCACCCAAAACCATGTGACTACATAGAAACAGAACAACCTCCTCTTGAATGACTTTTGGGTAAATAATGAAATTAAGGCAGAAATCAAGAAGTTCTTCAAAACTAATGAGAAAAAAAGATACAACATACCAGAATCTCTGGGACACAGATAAGTCAGTGTTAAAGGGAAATTTATAACATGCCCATAAACTAGAAGGACCTCAAGTTAACAACCTAACATCCCAACTAAAAGAGCTAGAGAATCAAGAACACACAAACCACAAAGCTAGCAGAAGACAAGAAATAACCAAGATCAGAGCTGAACTAAAGGAGACAGAGACACGAAAAACCCTTCAAAAGAGCAACAAATCCATAAGGGGGATATTACCTCTTACAACACAGAAATATAAATAACCATCAGATAATATTATAAACACTTCTATGCACATAAACTAGAAAATCTAGAACAGATAAATTCCTGGACATGTACACCCTCCCAAGACTGAACCAGGAAGAAATTGAATTCTTGAACCAACCAATAGTGAGTCCTGAAATTGGGGCAGGAATAAATAGCCTACCAATAAAAGCCCAGGACCAGATGGATTCACAGCTGGATTATACCAGAGATACAAAGAAGAGCTGGTACCATTCCTACTGAAACTATTCAAAAAAGTCAAAAAGCAGGCACTCCTCCCTAACTTTCTATGAGGTCAGCATCATCCCAATACCAAAACCTGGCAGAGATACAGAGATCACTGGCATTCCTATACACCAACAGGCAAGCTGAGAGCCAAATCACAAATAGACTCCCTTTCACAATTGCCACAAAAAGAATAAAATACCTAGCAATACAGCTAACAAGGGAAGTGAAGGATCTCTACAAGGAGAACTACAAACCACTGTTCAAAGAAATCAGAGAGGACACAAACAAATGGAAAAACATTCCATGCTCATGGATAGAAAGAATAAATACTGTGAAACTGGCCATATTGCCCAAAGCAATTTATAGATTCAGTATTATTCTCATTAAACTACCATTGACATAATTCACAGTACTAGAAAAAACTATTTTAAAATTTATATGGAACCTAAAAAGAGCCTGAATTGCCAAGGCTATCCTAAGCAAAAAGAACAAAGCTGGAGACATCACACTACCTGACTTCAAACTATACTACAGGGCTTACAGTAACCCAAACAGCATGGTACTGGCACAAGAACAGACACATAGACCAATGAAACAGAGTAGGGAACTTAGAAATAAGACCACACACCTACAACCATCTGATCTTTGATAAACCTGACAAAGAAATGCAAAAGGAAAAGGATTTCCTATTTAATAAGTGGTGCTGGGAGAACTGGCTGGCCATATGCAGAAAACTGAAACTGGACCCCTTACACCATATAAAAAATCAACTCGAGATGCATTAAAGACTTAAAAGTAAAACCTAAAACTATTAAAACTCTAGAAGAAAACCTAAGCAATACCATTCAAGACATAGGCAGGGGCAAAGATTTCATGAGGAAGACACCAAAACCAATGGAAACAATAGCAAAAATCGACAAACAGGATATAATTAAACTAAAGAATTTCTGCACGGCAAAAGAAACTATCAACAGAGTAAACAGACAACCTACATAATGGGAGAAAAATTTTGCAATCTATGCATCCAACAAAGGTCTAATATCCAGCATTTATAAGAAACAAACAAATTTACAAAAAGCAAAGAACCCCATTAAAAACAGGCAAAGGACATGAATACACACTTCTCAAAAGAAGACATGCGTGTGGAAAACAGTATAAAAAAAAAGCTCAACATCAGTGATCATTAGAGAAATACAAATCAAACCACAGCGAGATATCATCTCACACCAGTCAGAATGGCTGTTATTAAAACGTCAAAAAGTACTGTTTGTGGAGTGTAAATTGGTAATTAGCTCAACCACTGAGGAAGACAGTGTGGCAATTCCTCAAAGATATTGGGACACAAATACCATTTGACCCATCAATCCCATAACTCGGTACATACGCAAAGGAAGATAAATCATCCTGTTACAAAAACACATACATGTGTATGTTCACTGCAGCACTATTCACAATACCAAAGACGTGGAATCAACCCAAATGCCCATCAATGATAGCAGAATACTATGCAGCCATAGAAAGGAATGAGATCATGTCCTTTGCAGGTACATGAATGCAATTGGAGGCCATCATCCTTAGCAAGCAAACACAGAAACAGAAAACCAGATACCACATGTTCTCACTTATACATGGGAGCTAAATGATGAGAACACATGGGCACTTAAAGGGTAATGACAAATACTGGGGCCTACCAGAGGGCAGAAGGTGGGAGGAGGGAAAGGATCAGAAAAAAATGACTAATTGGTACCAGGCTTAATACCTGGCTGATGAAATAATCCATACAATACACCCACTTGACACACATTTACCTATGTAATAAAGCTGCATATCCTACATATGTATACTTGATCTTAAAATAAAAGCTAAAGAGCATTTAAATTTTTAAAACATATTTGAGATTCAAATTTAACTAGGCACACTGAACTTTTATTTTTAAACTCTGGGAATCCCATATTTACCTTATTCTTTTTGTCTTATATATAAGATAAATATAAATATATATATTATAAATATAAATGATAAATATAAATATATATAATATATAATATATATCATATATAAATATATATATTTGTATATATTATATAGTATATAGTATATAGTATAGTATATACTATATAGTATATATATAGTATATATACATAGTATATATACTATATATTTTATATAACAGTATACTATATAAAACGTAGCATATATAGTATATATACTATATAAAACGTAGCATATATAGTATATATACTATATAAAACGTAGCATATATAGTATATATACTATATATAACGTAGCATATATAGTATATATACTATATAACGTAGTATATATAGTATATATACTATATATTTTATATATTTTATATATTATATATTTTATATAATAGTATACTACATATAACGTAGTGTATGTAGTATATATACTACATATAACGTAGTGTATGTAGTATATATACTACATATAACGTAGTGTATGTAGTATATATACTATATATTTTATATAATAGTATACTATATATAATGTAGTATATATAGTATATATACTATATATAATGTAGTATATATAGTATATATACTATATATACTATATATTATATAGTATATATAAAATATAGTATACTATAGACTATATACAGTATATACTATATAGACTATATACAGTATATACTATATATTAATATATTATATATAATTCTATATAATATATTAATATATAATTCTATATTATATATTAACATATTATATAATTCTATATATTATATGTTAATATATAATATATAATTCTATATAATATATTAATATATTATATAAGTATATATATTATATATTAATATATAATATATATATAATATATAAGTATATATATTATATATTAATATATAATATATAATATATAATTCTATATTACATATTATATATTTGTGTGTGTGTATATATATATATTCCAGAAGACAATGGAATAATAAGTTTAAAGTAATCGGATAAAAACCAATATTTCTGTATAGTCATTGAAGAGTGAAGATAGAATAAACATATTTCAGATACAGAAGACTAAATTTACAACGATCAGATCTCCACCAGAAAAGTATTATTGGGTGCACCTTTGAATGAAGTTAAATGACCAAGGAATAAAGAAGTGGGATGCAAAGAAATTGATGATCAAATAAATTGCTCAAAAACAATAAAATTATTGGTCTGTAAGCAATTAAAACTTAAATAACAAGAATAGCAAAATAATTACCCAGTGTTTTGGGAGTATTCAATAAGGAGATTAAAACGGCCACAGTCCTTGACTTACTTGATCAAAAAGATGCTAGAGATGCAGAATAACTTCAGATGACGTTAGGAAAAAAAACAGTTTACCTTATATTATAGTTTGGATATTTGTTACCCTAAATCTTGTGTTGAAATGTAATTTCCAATGTTCGAGGAGGTTCCCGGTGGGAGGTGTTTGGGTCATGGTGTCGGGTCCCTCATGGCTTGGTGCTGTCCTCATGACAGTGAGTGAGCCCTCGTGAGATCTGGTTGTTTAGAAGTTTGTGGCAAGTGAGTGAGCCCTCGTGAGATCTGGTTGTTTAGAAGTTTGTGGCAAGTGAGTGAGCTCTCGTGAGATCTGGTTGTTTAGAAGTTTGTGGCAAGTGAGTGAGCTCTCGTGAGATCTGGTTGTTTAGAAGTTTGTGGCACCTGTCTCACAACTCTTGCTCCTTCTCTGGCCTTGTGATGTGCCAGCTCCTACTTCATCTTCTGCCATAAATAAAAGCACCCTAAGGCCTCCCCAGAAGCTGATCAGATCCTGGCACCATGCTTTCTGTACAGCATGCAGAACTATGAGCCAATTCAACCTCTTTACCAATTACCCAATCTCAGGTATTTCTTTACAGCAATGCAAAAACAGCCTAACACATTATGCATTTTTAAAATGTGATAGTATCCACTAAAAAATAAAAATAAAAATAAGGTCAATACCTCCTAGACTGAGAAAGGGAGAGGTGTTGGTGTTAAGCAAAGCAGATAAGGAATATGGAAAAAACTTATGAATCCATGAGCAGGCATAAAATTTTAAGAGTGAACACATAGTTCAAATAAGTCCAGGTATAATAGATTGCAGTAAAACAGGAATCACAGAAATTGTAAGACTTCTGACTGAAATAATGTCCAGAGTGCCGTATAGATTAGACGAGAGAAAAATAAAAACATATAGACACATTATCCTGAAATGCTAGAACAATAAATACAAAGGGAAAAGTATAAAAACTCCCAAATAAAAATGTAGAGTTCCATAAAATAGCAACAACTATACTAGGACAAGATTTCTAAATAGTATCATTGACTTATCAAGGCAGGTAAGGAAATTGGCTAGCAGGCTTTGAATAATACTCTCATTTGTTCTTTCTAGAACAAAACAAATCTATCAATTAAGTAGCCCCGTTTACAGAATTATTCTTTTGATTAACACATAAATATGGAACTGAGAAAGCTCTGGAAATAATTGCTTTGCACATTTTTAAGGATAAGAATACAGATTTCATAACTTGCATGTCCTAAATTGTTTAAGAATTGAAAGATGTCCATGAATATTTGTTGAATTAAAACTATCTTCAATAAATATCTGGAGTTATTCTTAACTGCCTTCCATCCTTACGTACACATCAAATCAAAAATCAAATGCTTTTTTTAAATATATCTTGATATTTTTTCCCTCAGTCCCCAGTAACTCCTGCAGGTTGTCATAATTGCTCCTCTGAACTGCTGTGATAGCTCATAAATGAATACATCTGCCTCTACTACCACAATCATTCTTTCCACTCAAAATCCAGAGGGTTCTTTTCAAAATATAAACATGATTGTCACTTCCAGACTTAAATTATTCATTGCATTCTGCTTGCCCTTTACATTACTCTGAAAATGTTGGCAGGGATTGTAAAGATCAGCATGACCTGGATCTTGCCTCCCTCTCCATTTTCATTTCCCTGTTTCTCTCGATCTCTATATTTTAGTCAACCTGGATTTTTTTCCAATTGACTGTATGTACCAAAAAGCATCTCAAAATTTGAAATTTTTTTGCCTGAAAAATAATCTGTGTTATCTTTAGCTTATACTAAATAATTCCTCAGATCTCTGTTAAAATCACTTTTTCTCAGGAATGTTAACACAATGAAGTGACTAGTGTAACTTAAAGCAGTTATGGGCCGGAATCCAATGTGGAAAGAGATCACAGTTTTCCGCAAATCCTCTGGTAATGGTATCATTCCTTCACGGGTAACTAGAAGTCCTCAAACCATAATGTGCTTTTTTTTTTTTTTATCGTACACCTAAAATTAAATTGCCTAATAGCTTTTCTCCTCCAATCTCTTTCCTCAATAAATAGGAGACTCATTCAAAGGCTATTTATCTGCCTGGTACAAGATTTTGAATAACTTATGTCTTCTCAAGAATGTTACATATTGATTTATAATCTGTACTTCATTTTACACAATTTTAATATCTTTCTTATTAACCTCTCAACAAGTTTTCCCCAGTTAACAACACAAATATTTTACTCCCCTGTCTCCTTCTCCCCCACAAAAACACACAGGCAAAAACATAAAAGTATCTCTGAAAGAATGAAATTAAGAAAACTTATATATGGGTATGTCACACATGGAAAACTGACTTTGAAAACTGACCTTTGATTTACTCTTGCATTAAGTAAGAAGGAATATGATGTAGTTTTACCAGATATTTGCAAAATGGTGGCAGTCAGATATGCATACAACCAGAGTCTAGGGCAAAGCCAGGAGATAGCAACAGGCCATAACCCAATCTCTCCCCTGAGAAAAACAGAGGATCATTTTGATGGACTCGATGGGATTATAATCCAATTACTCAATGCTGTTGAAAGTGTGCTTCCTTTACGGGAATAGAAGATTTGAGATTTTGCCTTGAGAAAAGTGAATATTTATGTGTATACTGATTTATTTCACAGTTTTATTATGTTAAATTCTTTTCAAAAAGGATCCATCTTTTTGTCTTTATATGTAAGCATCTTTATAGTAGTCACTTTTATTCTCATCTATGAAATAGGCACTACCTTCACCAATCTTTCTACTCTATAAATCTTACATCATTTTATTTTTATTATCCTTGGCTGTCTTTTCCTTCACAGTCAAATTCTTCAAGAGTGCTGGTGACATTTTTTGTCTTCATTCCTCATTCACCACTCTTTTTCTAATTTAGTTGGGACTGGTGGCAACCCTTCACTATAGAAACAAAATCACTTCCATTAATACTGCCAAGATCTTCACAAGGTATTCAAACTCAACGTCTCACTTTTTTGTGTTTATTATCTCCAGTTAATCACTCCTCTATTCTATCTATTCATCTATTCTCATGGTGACATCCTGGACTCTGTTATCTTTATTCTCTAAAACTTTATTTCTGAAATCATTAATTCACACATCTAAACTTCTGATCACAAGGTTTGATATTTACTACTTGCTCACACAAATAACACCCGGCATAATGATTCCTCAAACACATTAGAATGCTTAATGTCTTGACTTCCTTTATTGGAGCCATGGCTTACAATTTCCTGTTTTCATTTTCTGTTTTAGTTATTTAGGCATTTAGATAATGTCTTTCTAAAGGCACCATAATCCAAATGGTACCACCTGTCCGGAACAAGAATTTCCCCAACTCTTTTAAGATATTCCTCTTTCCCTTCTCAGAGGGTATCCTAACAATGCTACAAATATTTTTGCCCCACTTGTCTGCTATTCTCTTGCCTTGCTGTTCTTCATCCAAACCATTAGATAACACTAATAGCCCTTCACATTTCCCACCATGCACATAAATGGCAACTAAGGATGAATTACATATCTGTATCCCTAAATTTCAGATAAGCAAACATAACTGGCTCCTTCATACTGCCTACTGAGATTTTAAGAGTTATTTTAATCTTTTTTTTTTTCAGTTCCACAAAGATTCTTTCAATCTTTTTTTTTTGTGGACTTAAATCTGAATCCAGGTCCCTCTCTATAACTCTCATAGAGCAATATTTCCTCCTGTTATGCAGGGAAAATGGAACATATATACTCCATTTATGTATGAGATTTCCCTCCTTCTGCAAACACTAAATATATGAATATTTATATGTATGATTCTTCCTAAAGGTTCAAACTTCATATATCACCTAACTGAACTCTTCATTTTATAAAAGAGAAAACTGGAAAATAGAAAGGGGAGCTATCTAAGCATGATCTTCAGCTACTTATTGGCTAAACTAAGGTCTTGTTGAATAAAGTCAGTTTAATCATTTTTATTCCCTATCTTTTGCATAAGTAAATTATAATTTTATGTCAAATATATATATTTATATGTGTACACACACTCACATTGAAAACAGATTTGTATCCAACTTATCACTCTGTGTAGATCTAGACTGATGTATCTAATGCCTATTCAACTTCTCTACATAGAATTCTCACAGTCGCCGGGTGCTGTGGCTTATGCCTGTAATCCCAGCACTTTGGGAGGCCAAGGCGGGTGGATCGCTTGAGGTCATGAGTTCAAGACCAGCCTGGCCAACATGGTGAAAACCCATCTCTACTAAAAATACAAAACTTAGCCAGGTGTGGCAGCACATGCCTGTAGTCTCACGAAACTTACAATCAAGGCAGAAGGCAAAGGGGAAGCAAGGCACATCTTAACATGACAGCAGGAGTGCCATATACTTTTAAACCATGAAATCTCATGAGAACTCACTCACTATCATGAGAACAGCCAGGGGGAAATCTGCCCCCATGATTCAGTCACCTCTGGGTCAGTTCCCTTCCCTGACATGTGGGGATTACAATTTGAGATGAGACTTGAGTGGGGGACATACAGCCAAACTATATCAAGTATCTTTGGTCTTTTTACATTCAAACCATTGCTTTTATTATGTATTAAGTTTTTAATTTTTTATTTTTTTTAGGATAACATCCCGTGTGCCATTTGAACAATTTAAGCAAATGTTTAACCTTTTATATATATATATATATAAATTTTTTTTTATTATGCTTTTAATTTCTAGGGTACATGTGCACAACGTGCAGGTTACATATGTATACATGTGTCCTGTTGGTGTGCTGCACCCATTAACTCATCATTTACATTAGATGTATCTCCTAATGCTATCCCTCCCCCCTCCCCTCACCCCACAACAGGCTCCGGTGTGTGATGTTCCCCTTCCTGTATCCAAGTGTTCTCATTATTCATTTCCCACCTATGAGTGAGAACATGAGGTGTTTGGTTTTTTTGTCCTTGCGATAGTTTGCTGAGAATGATGGTTTCCAGCTTCATCCATGTCACTACAAAGGACATGAACTCATCCTTTTTTATGGCTGCATAGTATTCCGTGGTATATATGTGCCACATTTTCTTAATCCAGTCTACCATTGTTGGACATCTGGGTTGGTTCCAAGTCTTTGCTACTATTGTAAATAGTGCTGCAATAAACACACGTATGCATATGTCTTTATAGCAGCATGATTTATAATCCTTTGGGTATATACCCAGTAATGAGATGGCTGGGTCAAATGGTATTTCTAGTTCTAGATCCCTGACTAATTGCCACACTGTCTTCCACTATGGTTGAACTAGTTTACAGTCCCACCAACAGTGTAGAAGTGTTCCTATTTCTCCACATCCTCTCCAACACCTGTTGTTTCCTGACTTTTTAATGATGGCCATTCTAACTGGTGTGAGATGGTATCTCAGCGTGGCTTTGATTTGCATTTCTCTGATGGCCAGTGATGGTGAGCATTTTTTCATGTGTCTGTTGGTGGCATAAATGTCTTCTTTTGAGAAGCGTCTGTTCATATCCTTCTCCCACTTGTTGATGGGGTTGTTTTTTTCTTGTAAATTTGTTTGAGTTCTTTGTAGATTCTGGATATTAGCCCTTTGTCAGATGAGTAGATTGCAAAAATTTTCTCCCATTCTGTAGGGAATACCATCTGTTCACTCTGATGGTAGTTTCTTTTGCTGTGCAGAAGCTCTTCAGTTTAATTAGATCCCATTTGTCAATTTTGGCTTTGTTGCCATTGCTTTTGGTGTTTCAGACACATGCCTTGCCCATGGCAAGACACAAGTCCTTGCCCATGCCTATGACCTGAATGGTATTGCCTAGGTTTTCTTCTAGGGCTTTTATGGTTTTAGGTCTAACATTTAAGTATTTAATCCATCTTGAATTAATTTTTGTATAATGTGTAAGGAAGGGATCCAGTTTCAGCATTCTACATATGGCTAGCCAGTTTTCCCAGCACCATTTGTTAAATAGGGAATCCTTTCCCCATTTCTTGTTTTTGTCAGGCTTGTCAAAGATCAGATAGTTGTATATGTGTGGTATACAAACAAATGGAAGAACATTCCATGCTCATGGATAGGAAGAATCAATATCGTGAAAATGGCCATACTGCCCAAGGTAATTTATAGATTCAATGCCATCCCCATCAAGCTACCAATCACTTTCTTCACAGAATTGGAAAAAAACTACTTTAAAGTTCATATGAAACCAAAAAAGAGCCCGCATTGCCAAGTCAATCCTAAGCCAAAAGAACAAAGCTGGAGGCATCACTCTACCTGACTTCAAACTATACTACAAGACTACAGTAACCAAAACAGCATGGTACTGATACCAAAACAGAGGTAAAGACCAATGGAACAGAACAGAGCCCTCAGAAACATTCAAACCATTTCATACAGAGCTCCTAGAAGAATCTTTTTGGAATACACATCCAACAGTGTTATTCTCTTAATTTCCTTGGTTGGCTACCCATTACTTCTAGGTAAGTCCACGTACTGTAACAGTAAATTTTGCCTCTTAACCTTGTTCCTACTTACCTTTCTATCCTCATCACTTATATCCCTTAAAATTTATGATTCAACAATAGGACTTTTGAAAAATAATTCCTGCAGATACTTTCTTGCTTCTTATATTAATGATTTTGTCTTATTCCCCTTCCTTCTTGATTTTCCTATGCTTCTCCCCCTTTGAATAGGCATCAGTTCTCCCAAGAAGCTTTACCTTTACTTAGATGTATTTTCTGCAGTGCTGCATGTGTTAGAAACATTTCATTTATATTTTTGTTTTCATATCTCTATTATTGCATTTGCTTATCATACTGCAAGATTTTTTTTCATTGATTACAATATCCATTTTTGTATTCTCTGAACCTACCCCAGTGTGTAGCATCTAAACAAACTTTCAGGAGTTTGTCAGTGATTCGTAAATGATCCTTAAATACAGTAAGAATCTAACCCAGCCAAAGATCCTACTAAAAATCTGTATTAATAAAATCTAACTCCAGAGATGATAATTAGTCATACCAGTGTAGACCATTTTAACTAAGCAAACCAGGTTATTTTGACATAGATGCTCCATTGACCAAACATCAATAAACAAGAGCTTGGATGACCTTTCAGTTTTCCTTTATATCCAATAGCACATTCTGATAAGTAACTTGAAGTGATTTAAAAAAGTTCACATGGTGATAATTATATTCAATCATATTATGAATACTTGTATATTTATATAATCATTATACAAATATAATAATGCTCAGGTCATACACATTTGCATGAGTTTGAGGAGGTTAAAAGTTTAGAATGAAAATTCAGTGATAGAATAACATTTTTATTTTTTTTTTTGGTTTTTTGTTCTGATAGTACTTTTGTTCTAGATAATTACTCTATGCCAAAAGTAGGACTACACTTTTCTTATTTGTGTGTCTATATTTGGCCTCCAGACAGTAATAAAGATGTAAAAATCTTGTGAAAATGTGTCTTGGTTCATAAGTTTTAACTTTACTAAGAGAAGAAAAATTAGGAAACACTTTATAGAATAAAGGAACACATGAGTAAAATCGTATGCAGCAGAAATCTTAAAATATCTTCAAAGGCAATTTAACAGTTTCCCAAGAACCACATTATTTTAACAAGCATTGTCAGGAAATTTAACCTCATTTTCAACCTAAACTTATCACATTGAACTGATTTTTGAAAATGTATTTGCTTTTATAACCAGAGAAGATGAAAACCTGCTGTTCACCATTGCTATATAATAAACTCTCACATCAGAAAACGGCTTTACATATTTTTCCTTAGTTCTATAATCTCTAAAATAAACATTTTTTAAAAAATTCTCTGATCAAATTCATTTGGATATTTTCCTGGCACAAAATAATTTATTTTGGCTCATTAGTCTGCACATGTGGATGCTTTTTATTTTACAGTTTCTTTCTCTTAAGAAAGGAAAGGATTGTGACTTTTGGGGGACTAATAAATTTTGGTAATTATTTGCAAGGCTGATTTAATGCTATTGGCATTCTCTGAGATCAATTTGTCTAAAGAGCTGCAGTAATAAGGATTGGCTTTAATTCTAGCTACACAAGATTGTCACAGCAATAGCTGACCTCTAAAAAGAGGTAAGCAAACAGCAGAGTGGAAAACAAAGGAAATACTTCAGACTGCTATTATCTCATTTCAGCGTAGCAGACACGCTGCCGGATGGACAAGTCAAGTCTTTGTCACAGATTAGAAGTAAAGCATCCAGACCACCAAAGCAAAGGTAACAGCAGAAGGGCAAAGTCCTTTTTGTCCATTGCATTTTTGCCAGTGAAATAACCTTACAGAGAATGTGTATTTCTCATTTCAGAGACAGAAGCTATGGTCATGGTTCAATAGGTAGCAGAAAAACCACAGGATTTCCAACTAACCTCATGTTACTTTGTAAAAAAAGAGTATATATGAAAAAAAAATTTTTAACAGCTGATTGCAATTACATTTTTGATATATGTTAAATAAAATGCTTGTTTCACATATGACAAAGATCCACCAAAGCATATTATGAATATATACATACACACACACACACACACACACACACACACACAATGTGCTGTTCAAAGACTGTAAATAATTTAAACAAGGCAAAATTCAAGATGCTTAAAGAGACAATTTATAATATTAAGATATTAACATACAAATAAAACAATATCAAATTCTACCATTCAAATGCCTAAAGTTATTCTAGTTATTTGAACAATTAATTCCCTTTTGGAAATATTAAATGTTTCTTAATAATTCACTTGGGACAACTAAGTCTCTTTCTTTCTCCCTCTTTTCCCCTCTCTCTTTCGCTGTATGTGTGTGCTTGTATGTGTGTGTGCTTGTATATGTGTGTTCTTTTCTGGAGTTACAAACTTTTTAAACAAAAGAATAGGTTAAAATTCTAAGATCTAATCGATTTCTGTTGTATGCCAGAAAAAACTTCTGGGCAGTCAGGGTGTGAAAGTCCCAATGTAGGTTATGGTGTCTGCATAGTGAGATATTCTAGAGAAGCATAGACAATGAAACCGTCCTAGATGGTTTAGACATGTGCTGCCTAGAGGCAGGGTGCTGCAGAGGTGATTTCCTAAGCTTCTGTCAAGCTCCATTAATCTGTCCTTCTGGGAGTGTAGGATTTTAGAAATGGTAGTCTAAATAATAGAAAACTGAAATAAAGGAGAAAAAGGCAATGTATGTTATTTTTCCAGTGTATGTTATTGTTACTTTTAGTTATGTTTATTTCTATTTATTTTAGTATCCTTATGCTTATACTACTAAACATTTCACACCACTTTATTATTTTCATTTATCTTGAAAGTTACTAATCAGATTCAATATTTTGAAGATTTTCTTGTGCCAAAAATCGATGATTGTTGTATTTAAAAACAGTAACAATAATCCTCCTGAGGAGGTGACTTTCTATCTAGGCAATGCATCATAACCTCCGGGAGGTCTTTTCAAATTACACACATGCATCCTTCTCCTTGCCCCCTTCCTTATTGAAAGAGGATCAGTAATATCATCTCTTATCTGGAACTGAAGTGTAATGGGAGATGTTACTGATGGATTATTATTGGGGCTGTTTATAGGGTGCAGGCAAACCTAGAATTAAGAACCCCAATTTGTGCAATGATGGAAAAGACACTCTCTGCAGTGAGATACTTCGCTTAGAATACAGGGCACCAACCAGCTACACTAACATGGCAAATGCCATGTCCTGTGGCAGGCATAAGTGGAGCACTTCGGGAAACGTAGCACTAACCATCCTTGTGACACTCCTTCTGCAGAGAAGCAAGTGTTGTGTGGCTGGTAAGTGGAGTGGAAAAGACTTTGTGAAGAAGTGTTAGCTCTACAGGAACATCTCACCTATTTTTGCTGAAGTTACAGGAATAATTTCCATTCCTAAAACACTATTTTAGTTTTTGAATAAATTTATTTGCATAAATATTTAATGTTGCTTCTAAGACACAGAATTACCTATGAAACTCATTTTTAAGAAACAGATTTTACCCAATAACTCATAATTTCCCACTGCCATATAGCAACGATCAAGCCCTTATGGAGAGAGTAGATCCTGGATGTATAGTTTCTATGTGGAATAGGTGTGCAACAGCTTTAAGTGAGCCCAGAGAAAGATTCCCAAACTATTGATGTGATGATCATTAAGAAAGTATCCACAATGTATATAAACTTTAAAACATTATATTGCATGTAATAAATGCATTCGATTTTGTGTTAATTTTTAAAAATTTGAAAATAAAAAGAATGTAAAGTGGTCCTGTCATGAATGATGGAGGGACCCTCTTACTAACAGTACCTTACAATTTTCTGTAATGTTGTCAGGGCAAAATAAATGCCCTCATTTTTGTAATAGTCAATGAAGAATGGCATGTTGATCTTGTCCACTCAATGTCCACTCAAAACAACTTTTAGTTATAATTGTATTTTCACCTAGAAAATACAGTTTTGGATTCTAATGCAGAAAAATTATACTCCAAGTTTATGCAAGTACACAAACTAAAAGTAAAGTTGTTCCTTTTCATGTAGATTTTTCCTTCAGTCCTATTTAAATTGAAGTTTGCCAACTTCATTAGTAACAAAGAATACATAAAATTTAAATACCAATAAATATATAACTTTAAAAAGAAAACCGCTTCGTAAGTAATTTTTACACTGTGTATATGCAGACTTTTCAGTACTCTAAATGTCATGATCCTGTATTGACGGTAAATTTTTTTTTCTGAGCCATTTTCCCCAAGCTTTGCTACAGCACTTTTCTACTCAGACTCTAGTTGTCTAGTTCCAGCCAACAAATTCCACACTGCTAATTTTCTGTCACCAAGAGAAAGCAAATTATTTTTATTTTTATAACATCAATTTAAAATAATTGATTAATCCACAGAGTAAATTTACATTAGTAACTATCATGATACTAAATCAGCTAAGTTTTACTATAAATAATAAAATACCATGTACCTAATACGGTGGTCTTTTATTTACTGTATTACACTTAAGGGTAAAAACAAACTTTTAAGCGAAGTACAAAAGCAAAGTCCAAAAAATATTTTCACCCATTTAGAGGTGCAGAGGTTAAGAGATTTGCCCAAATTCACAGAGGGAGAAGGTAGAGGGAGAATTAAATACCCATATCTGCAGATATAATCATTATCTCCTAATTGTGGTTATCATTTTGGTAGAGCTTTTGCTTACATAGTTGCATGTTTTTTCTTAACTTTAATAGTATTTTGAGACTTTTAAAGTGTGAACTGCATTGAATAAAACTGAATTCATCATTTGCTTTGGCATGCTCTGTTGCTTTAACATCTTTAGACACCATTTTAGCAACCCTTGAGGCAGAATTTAATGAACTGTATTTCCTGCCTGAAGTGCCTGCAATATTTAGGGTTCCGCAAGTGAACCTAGGAGGATTCTCCACCCAAGCATGATTTATCTCTTTGGGAGTTCCAGGTTGGTCAGGGTTATATTTAAGTACATTTGAAAAACATGCCATTTTCTGACATGATGTCAAGAAACCATCAAGAGCTTTCAGAATGAAATTCAAATTTCCTATCCTAGCACAAAAAGACCTTCACTGCTGATTCCCAGTCCAATTTTTTAGCCTCACAACACACCTCTGCCATTTATATTCTATCCTAACCAGGTAGGTGTCTACTTGCTATTTCTAAACATAAACTTTTCATTTTCACATTTCTCTGTTGTCCCCAGTGTGAAATATTTTACAACTCTTTTGTATCCTCCTTATTTACTTTCAAAACCAGTATGTAAAGACACTTGTTCTATACAATGTTTCCTGACCTAGTTGTGAGAATTTATGTTACTTTCTTCTTGGTGTCCATTATACATTATACAGAGTAGTAGAGTCAGCATTTTTACATTGCAATTTATTTATTTGCTTGCCTGTTTTTTTCATATATATTTCTCCCTCGCTAGGCTGTGGGCTTCTTTGAGTTCAAGAGGTCCAGATCTTTGAAGTCATTAAGGTTTAATTAATTGAACTATGTGAAAGTTGGGAACTTCTTCATGCTCTCCGGCATACCAAATTATCTTATTATCAACATGCAAAAAAGTTTTTCCTAGTCTTTGTAAATGCCACTTGCAAACATCTTCATCTTGAGTTTGAACTTTTAAGTGGTACTCAACTATATTTGTAATGTTTTTATTAAATAGTCATAATTTAATGACTAAAAGAGAGGCAATTACTTTGAGTTTGTCACATACTGCCTGTCTCGGGTTTTTAATTGTAAAATAGGGATAGTAATTATTAATAATTTTTTCATATATTTTCCTGAAAGGTTAAATGATATATTAAATAAGTTGGCATAATATCTGCTATATCTTAAGCACAACAAAATATCAGGAAATACTAGATTGTAGCTTCTGTGTGGACAGAGATTTTTCAGTCATATCCCCCAATGCCCTGTCACTGTCACTGGCACAATGTTGTGGCTCCCCAAATTTACTCTGTGAACAAATAAATTAACCTTAAAAATGCTAATTTTTACTAATGCTGTTAAGGAATGGTTTACAGTTTAACGAATATGAGTTATTAATTTAGAGAGGGAGAAAGGAGGTAAAGTGAATTTCAATGAAAGAACTAGATTTCAAATAGAAGAAGGTATAAATGGGACAAAGAATACGGGGGAAAGGTCAGATGTTTGAAGGGGCTGAAACTTTGTGTTTCTGAGAGAAACTATGTGAGCATAGGACCTCCTAGGTAGGTCTGAGAGTTTTTTTATGCCATTGTGAAACATAAATTTTAATTGTAGATTTGCCTCAAATGCAAAAAAGTTCTAAAAGTGTAGAATACAGATCTGTTTTTTAGTAAGCAAATAATTGTGGATTTATTGTGAAAGATGGCCTATATGCAGATAAACTGGTGTCTAAAGAGATTAGTTACAAAGCATGGGTACTAGAGCCTATGAGATTATGGGTAAGTGGCTTAAACTGTCTGAAAGATAGTGTGCATACAAGTAAAATGGATACCTAATAACATTACTTACAAGAGTAAAAATTATATTGTGGATCATTGTAATAATTATCATCATAGTCATCAGTTATAAATGGTAATGTTAGCTACTCAATTAATAGAGCGAAATGGAGACAGAGCAGTAAGAATATACTATAGGCTATTTAGAAGCTATCATTTGTAGGACTTGATTATAATGGATGTGAGAGTCTGAAAGAGGGAACTCTAAGAATGAGGTCTGTAGATATATTTACCAAGGTAAAGGAGAAAAGCCAATTTGCATAATAAGTAATGATCAGAGATTCAGAGATCTTTGAAATGTCTGTGTGAGATAACCCAATGAAAACATCAAACAAGCAATTGCACATATCAATCTGGAGACTGGGAAGAGATTTGGTAAGTGTAGATTAGAAATTCATCACAGATAGATGCAAAATTACATAATGAAAGCTCATTGACAAATAAACAGAAAGAGAAGAAAGGGAATGCTGGCAGAAAACTAGAGAAAATGAAGACAGGCGTATATTGAAGATACTGTGGATTTGGTTCTAGACCACTGCATTAAAGTAAATATTGCAATAAAGTGAATCACAGAAGTTTTTGGTTTCCCAGTGCATATAAAAGTTATGTGGACACTATACCATAGTCTATTAGGTGAGTAATAGCATTATGTCTGAAAATATACATACCTTAAGCTTAAAATGCTTTATTGCTAAAAAATGCTATTAACCACCTGAGTCTTCAAAAAGTAATTTTTTTTTTTTCTGATGGAGGGTCTTGCCTTCCATTGGCGGATGCTGACTGATTAGGCTGGTGTTTGCTGAAACGTAGAATAGCTTTTCAGTTTCTTAAAATAAGATAATAATAAACTTTGCCCCATAGATTAACTCTTTTCTTTCTTGAAAGATTTCTCATAGCATACTGTTTGGTAGCATTTTACCCACAGTAGAACTTCTTTAAAAATTAATCAACCCTTCCAAACCCTGCTGCTGCTTTATTAACTAAGTTTATATAATATTCTAAATCTTTTATTGTCAATTCAACAATGTTCACAGCATCTTCATTAAAAGCAGATTCTGTTGCAAGAAACTGCTTTATTTGCTCATCCTTAAAAAGCAGCTCATCTTTTCAAGTTTTAACATGAGATTGCAGGAACTCAGTGACAGCATCAAGCCCACTTCTAATTCCAGTTATCTTGCTATTTCTACCACATCCACAGTGACTTCACTGAAGTCTAAAATCCCTCAAAATCATCCATGAGGTTGGAATCAACCTCTTCCTAACTCCTGTTAATACTGACATTTGGACCTCCTTCTGTGAATAATTGCAAATGTTCTTAATGGCATCAAGACTGGTGAATCCTACACAGAAGGCTATTTACTTTGCTCAGATTCATCAGGTAAATCACTCTCTATGGCAACTAGAGCCTTACAAAATGTATTTCTTAAATAACAAGGCTTGAAAGTCAAAATGACTTCTTGATCCATGGGCTGAAGAATGGATATTGTGTTAGCAGGAATGAAAACAACATTAATCCCTTGTACATCTCTATCAGAGCTCTTGGTTGACCAGGTGCATTTTCAATGAGCAGTAATATCTTTAAAGAAATCTTTTTTTTTCTTTTTTCTTTTTCTGAGGTCTCATCAGTGGGATTAAAATATTCAAAAAAACTATGCCTTAAAACAGATGTGGTGTCATGCAGGCTTTGCTGTTCCATTTACACAGCACAGGCAGAACGGATTTAGCACAATTCTTAAGGGGCCTAAGATTATCCAAATGGTAAGCAAACACTGGCTTCAACTTAAAATTGCCAGTTGCATTATCCCCTAACAAGAGAGGAAACCTGTCTTCTGAAGCTGGAAATTCAGGCATTGACTTTTCTTCCTTAGGTAGAAAAGTCCTGGATGATATCTTCCAGTATAATGCTGTTTCAATTACATTGAAAATATTTTGCTTAGGTTAGCTTCCATCATAAATTATACTGACTAGATCTTCAGGATAACTTGCTGCACTTTCTGCATCAGCACTTGCTACTTTACCTTGTATTTTTACGTTATGGAGACAGCTCCTTTCCTTATATTTCATTAATGAACTTCTGCTAGCTTTAAACTTTTCTCACATCTCTCAGCCTTCAAGAATTGAAGACTGTTAGGGCCTTGCTCTGGATCAGCCTTTGGCTTAAGAGAACGTTGGAGCTGGTTTGATATATCCAGACCACTAAAATTTCTCCATATCAGCAATTAGGTTGTTTCACTTTCATTTCTCGTTCACGTGTTCCCTGGAGTAGCATTTTTAATTTCCTTCTAGAACTTTTCATTTGCATTCACAACTTTGCTAAATGTTTCATGCAAGAGACCTAGCTTTTGGCCTTTCCCCACTTTCAATGTACCTTTCTCTCTAAGCTTAATCATTTCTAGCTTTTTATGTCAATTTAGAGACATGTGACTCTTTTTTTAACCTGAACACATACAGGCCATCGTAGGGTTATTAACTGGCCTAATTTCATTATTGTCATGTCTCAGGGAATAGTGAAGCAAAAAGAGAGGAAGACAGATGGGAGAATGACTGCTGGAACAGTCAGAAGATATACATTTATCAATTAAGTTGTCTTATACAATTACAATGGTAATATTAATTATCATAGATTAGAGATGTAAAGAGGTTAAGAGATGTAAAAATAATTTAAAAATTTGAAATATTGTGAGAATTACCAAAATGTGACACAGAGACACAAAGTGAGCATATGATGTTTTAAAAAATAGTGCAAACAGACTTGTTGGATGCACAGTTGCTGCAAACCTTCAGTTTGTAAGAAATTGCAGTATCTATGAAGGGCAATAAAGTTAATCTCAATGAAATGAGGTGTACCTGTTTTGTAAAGTGTAAAGGCCAAAAGGTAGACAGTATTGTCTCAGAAGCCATGGGAGAAAAAGGATTGACTTATGCAATCCAAAATCACAGAGCAAAGAAGAGTTTGTGGTTTCCATATATTTTTCTTGATCAATGTATCTAGCACTTTCATTGGAGTAGGAGCTGTGGAAGTTCAGTTACACTGGATGGAGAAAGGAATGGAGGTAATAAAGTAGAAATAAGTGTTCTTGAGAGAGATCACTTCATATGGTTTCTATTTTCTTTGAAAAGTAGAATATAAGGTCATCTGCTAATTCTCCATGACATGAGAGAAAAAAAATACACTAACCAAGACAATTTAGAAAATGGGAAGTGTTCCTAGGAGAAGAAAATGTTTGCAGCTGGTAGTAGAGATTTAATGTGTCTTCTCCATAAATAGGCTGCAAAATGTTCTTGGGTTAATAATTCTGAAAATATAGCCAATTTATCAACATGTCATTATAAATAGATATAAAATGGATTTATGAGTACTATCCTCATTCTTTATGTACTACCTTTACTTTGAGCCACCCAGAAAGTGAATATTCTTTTCTAATTTTCACAGGATATCTGAAATCTAGTAGACAGCCATCGTCATTTTTCACAAGATTACTTGTGAATCAGAAAAAAAGAATTTATAGTTTCTATTCAAGAGCTCTTTTCATTAACTTTTCTTAATCTAATTTAAAAATATTTATTATTCACTAATAATAAGAATTACCTTTCCTAGTATAGCAGGATAAAATATTCATGATAGCACAATTCAAAAATATAAAAAATAAAAAAGTTCCTCTTCAAGTTCTAGCATGGATCTAAATTAACAAGTTTAGGGGAGCATACCATTGTGAATTAATACCATTTTAGATTCTTTTGAACATAAGTTTGCAAACCTATGTTCAAATGATCCAGTTTTTCTTAGACACGTGTTCCTTTTCAGATTTCTTCTCCTCCTATGTTTACCATCATGACACACCTGGTGCATATTTGAGAAATGTGTAATGGCCTTGTGGAAATGTCTGAGTCTTATGTTGGACAGCTCTGTGCAGATTCTCATGCTATCCTCAAGGCCTGCTGTAGGTGAATGGTCTGAACTAGACCTCAACTCAGAAGTATGGCAGGTTCCGTTGAGCCACTGAGTCTATTGTGTTGGCTGGGTCTATAGATCTCAATGTCATGTTATTTCACAAAGAATAGTTAGACACATGATCTTCCTACATATTTTACTATCATTGACTCAAGGAATTTAATTCCAGAGTTTAATTCCCATTGACTAGTATCATATATATCATATAATATATATCCATATTTTACATGATTTGATTTTCTAAACTTATAAAATAATTCTGGTGAGACACACACACACATTATATGATTTAAGGGTTTGTTTTCCACAATAACTGCATGACTCTGCAACGTATCATTGGAGATAACAAGATTTATCAGACAGTATACAGCTATTGTGAATACGGAATGAAAATAACAATACTAGGCCTTATGATTACATATCTCATTTAAAATTATTAGAAAGAAATGGCCTGGCATGCTGGCTCACGCCTGTAATCCCAGCACTTTGGGAGGCCGAGGCAGGTGGGTCACAAGGTCAGGAGATTGAGACCATTCTGGCTAACACGGTGAAACCCCGTCTCTACTAAAAACACAAAAAATTAGCTGGACATGGTGGCAGACGCCTGTAGTTCCAGCTACTCGGGAGGCTGAGGCAGGACAGTGGTGTGAACCCGGGAGGTGGAGCTTGCACTCCAGCCTGGGGAACAGAGTGAGACTCAGTCTCAAAAAAAAAAAAAAAAAAAAAAAGAGTATCACAAAGAATTAAGAATAGATCTCAGATCATTAAAGACTGACAGAATGTTTTATTTTCAAATATAATTTTCAGCAGTGAATGGCTTCAAATTTTTCCTTTAAGAATTAGAGAGACAATTATTAGTGTTTTATTAAGTTCAGCCACACTGTCAGCTTCTGCTAATTGCTTTTTGACTCCTGGTTTCTTGCTTCCTTTCTGAATTCTTGCTTCTCCTAACTAAATCATTTACGCTGTCTGGGAATGAAGTAAACAAGGATACGATTTTAGCAGAAACTTCACTGGGCATGAATAGAACTGTTAAATTTTTGCATATTGAAAAATTGTGTTCACCAGTTTTTAAGTAGCATTGCTTAATTAATTTCATGGATGTTCTTTATTAAACTGCTCTTAGGAATATAAAAGCATAATGCTTAAAATTATCATAAAATTAGAATATAGTATTATAGTCATATTTTTGGAATTGCTACTTACATAAAACATATGCAAAATTCCTATTATACAGAAGTATATGCAGAAACTATATTAAGTATATAAAATATAAAATATTACAAGATAGAAAATTGATAAAATGAAATCAGGACATCTGTAAGGGTAAATCTGTGAATATAGCACTTAAGTATTCTATAAAAATAGAAAAGGGCAACAGAAGAGTAAAATAAATTTAAAGTAGAACATCAGAAACTATATGGGTGGTTACATATCTCTCAGCTGATCTGGTTTTATTTGGTGATATAATTTTGAAAATCAGGAGGAGTGGATTGATAAACTGTCTTGCTGATCTTAATCAATTTTAAATATTTTATTGTAAGAAGTATCACTTATATAAAAGAAAAAATATATTATATTGAATCTATATAATTTTTAAACAAAATAAATAAATGGTCTAGATCTGCAACTCAGTTTAAAGCAAGGAAAAAACCCAAATATGATCATCTTTCAGATGACATTCTTCTGTCTTTTCAGTGTGGATAACCTCTGTTCTTCTGTGTTCAACATTTATTGGTTTTAATTGAAATTATATATATATGCACACATATAAAATATGTTTTAGTTTGACAATGCATTTTTTAGTTTGAATTTTAAACTATACAAAATATCCTATGATAAATAATTTTCTATGATTTTGTCCTTTTTAATTCAATTTTATGTTTTTGAATTCATCTATGTTGCTATCAGTATCATTAGTTTATTTCACAGTTGTTGCAGGCATTTATTCTATGAATGAGCCATAATATATGTATCCATTTTTTTGTTAGTGAACATTTGAATTATTTCTAGATGATCACTTTTCTGAATGCTATTACTCTAAATATTTTGATATATTTCTTCTGGTGTGCATGTGAAAGAATTTTTAGGAATTTATGTAAAGGAACAAAATTGTTGAGTAATAGAGTATGTGAATCTTGTCTTTTATCAGATATTGCCAAATTATTCCCTAACTGTCTGAACCAACTCACAATTGGGTGTACTAATTTACAGTGTAATTTACAATATAACTAGCTATGCGCCTTCACCTGGCTTTTGTATTCATTTTAATTTTTGACCACAATGGGTAAAATATTTTTTATTTTGGTTTGGTTTTGTGTATCCTTATTTATTTATAATGTTGCATTTAGTCACAGTTCTGTTGCATTTCTTTAAAATATGTGTATGGATTTTCAGCTACTTTTGAAATAGGGTATATTTCACCATTTCTATTGACTATGTGAGTTGTTTGCATATTGTGAGAAGATCTGATAGCTGTTACCAAAATTTTATTCTTATTTTTTATCTTGGGACATTCCGGGTTACACTTCTCAGTCTCATTTTATGATGGAGTATATCATGCTGCTGAGTCCCAGCCAATGGAATATGAGTGGAAATTACGTGTGTCACATCCAGGACAGATACAAAACAACCTTTCAATACAGTCTTACTCAATGCTTTCCCTTTCTGAAGATTGGGATGGGGACCAAAGCACAAACTTGGAAAAGAAAGTTAATGATTCTTCCCTAAATGATTGTGTCAAACAAACCCTCTTCCTACCTTCTCTCACCTGTCCCTGACACATACATACATACTCCCCCACACACATATACTGCCACCACTAACCAAGGTCACTCTGTTTGCACTGTAAGAAAAGAAATACAACTTTCAATGTAGTACTCATCTGAATGTTAATTCTTATTTGTTCTCACTGCTTAGCCCTCAATCTCCTAATTAATATGTGGTAAAAAAATAATCATTTGTTCATTATATTCACTTTGTATATGCACTTCCAGGTATTTTCTTTGGTTTAAAAAATAATATATTAATTTTAATATATTTGACTTTTCCATGCTTCTTTAAGGCAGAGCTTGGTTTTATCTTTGTTAAAACACTGTTCTTAGCCAGGTGTAGTGGCTTCTGCCCAGTTACTTGGGAGGCTGAGGCAGAAGGATTGATTAATCTCAGTAATTAGAGTCTGCAGTGAGCTATGATCACAGCATTGCAATCCAGCTGGGGCAACAGATCAAGACCCAGTCTCAAAAACAAAAACAAAAAAATAAATTGTTTTTGCTGATGAAATAAATGTACATTCTTGTATTTCCTTCCAAAGCATAAATGCATGTTTTCTATTGGAGCCTTTTAAATATTAAATAATGCTAAGAAACGTTTTTTTCGTATAAATAAGAAATTGTCAGGACACAATTTTCAGGTGATCTGGTCCTCACTGAAATTATAATACATAAGCAATATATCACTTTATATTACCCTGTAATATATCAAGGTTTTAATATATATGTAGGTCAGTTTCTAGGTCTGGCTTCTGCATTGATATCACACTGTCTTAAAATTTGTCCTTAATAGTTTTGTTTGTTTGTATGATGGAGTCTCACTCTGTTGCCCAGGCTGGAGTGCAGTGGCATGATCTTGGCTCACTGCAACATCCACCTCCCAGGATCGAGTGATTCTCCTGTCTCAGCCTCCCAAGTAGCTGGGACTACAGGCGCATGCCACCACACCCGGCAAATTTTTGTATTTTTAGTAGAGATGGGGTTTCACCGTCTTGGCCAAGCTGGTCTAGAACTCCTGATCTCAGGTCTCCCAAAGTGCTGGAATTATAGGAGTGAGCCACCACGCCCGACATTTCAGGTTTTTTTCCAGTAGGACAATTTCTTATACAGTTTTTCTTCAGGTGTACATTGCTTATTTTACTCCTATTTCAATATAAAATTTAAAATTAAATTCCATAAAAATATCTTTCAAATGTAATTTATAATTTCATTACATTTGATTATAATTTTGAATAGAATAAACATATTATTCTGACTTTTAATATTTTGTATTTATCCATTTATTTAGGTCCTTCAAAATGCATTTCACTAAGAATGTATATTTTTCCATGGACATTTCACACGTTTTCTGTTAGGCATGTTTCTAATTATATTGTTTGAAGTTGTAGAATTGAATGACTTTTAAACCCTTTTTATTGAAGTTCAAGATACATAAAGGAAAGTGTATATGTTACAATTATAAATTCAAAGGGAGAAAGCCACAGTTAATTAGCAGGACAGAACATTCTAGAATTTAATGCACTAGATGTTATGTAACTCTAAACTTTTACTAGATCAATAAGTACATCGTTTAGTTCACTGGACATGCCTACACTGGATAAGTCGCAATGTAAACATGCTACAGAAATGTCTGTTCTTATCTCTTCTCAGACTGCTAACAATCTTTACCGGTTGGCAGTGGTTTTCAGACAAATTGTGTACTTTTCTAGTACATGACATTGGTAGAAGTTGTTTATGCATTCCCTTGGGTCAATACTAGAGATGGAATTGTTGTATT
Organism: Homo sapiens; assembly: GCF_000001405.40. Classification (NCBI taxonomy): domain Eukaryota; kingdom Metazoa; phylum Chordata; class Mammalia; order Primates; family Hominidae; genus Homo; species Homo sapiens. The sequence goes on along the minus strand of NC_000013.11, from coordinate 85,373,364 downwards.
ACAGGATATGAACAAATTCAGCTTCAATAGATTGTAACATACATATTTCTAAAGTGACTGTACTTCTAAAAACTTAAATCAGATAAAAGAAATAAGAAAGGAAAGGTAGAATAAAATAATCTTTTTCACAAATAATAGAATCTACGTAGGGTTTGTGGAAAATCAAAAATTATATGATTAGAAAACATCAAAATGAGAGGAGCATTTAGCAATTACACAGTATGCAAGATAAAACAAATTTTATTTTTATCAATGTCGAAGACAAATGCATTAAACTGCTTTCTTAAAAGGTATTGTAAAGATTACTCTCTGTCAAAATATTACTTGACACTTTTATCTCCAGGAATATTAAAAATGAAATATTCTTAAAAATCCTCTTGCTGTAAGTCTTCGTCCATTTGTATTGCTATAAAGAAACATCTCGGGCTGGGTAATTTATAAAGAATAGAGGTTTATTTGATGCACTTCTGTAGGCTGTACAAGAAGCATAGTGCTGACGTGTGCTTTTGATGAGGGCCTCAAGCTACTTCCAATTATGGCAGAAGGCAGAGGGGAGCTTGTGTGTAGAGATCACATGGTGAGAGAGGAAACAAGAGGAGGAGGGGAATTAGGTACCAGGATGCAGTGGCATGATCTCGGCTCACTGCAACCTCTGCCTCCCGGGCTCCAGCAATTCTCCTGCCTCAGCATCCTGAGTAGGTGTGATTACAGGTGCCTGCCACCATGCCTGCCAAATTTTTTTTTTTTTTTTTTTTTTGTATTTTTAGTAGAGACAGTGTTTCACCATGTGGGCCAGGCTGATCTGTAACTCCTGACCTCAAGTGATCTATCCACTTGGGCCAAAGTACCGGGATTACAGGTGTGAGCCACTGTGCCCGGCCACCAGGCTCTTTTTAACAACCAGCCCTCATGAGAACAGAATGAGAACTCACTCACTCCAACTCTGTCCCAGAGAGCAGGGTTCTATTCATGAAGGATCTGCCCCCATGACCCAAACACCTCCCATTAGGCCCCACCTCCAACTTGGGGATCAAATTTAAATAAAGTTTGGAGAGATGAACATCTAAACTATTGCACTATATCACCCGGATGCTTTATAAATCATAATAAATATAATTTTACATGCTCAGCTAAACTTTTAAGAGAGTAGGTAAGTCTCCCCGGCGCCAAATAAAGCAGGAAAAAAAAAAGAAACTGAGATGAGATGCAGAGCAGTCTAGCATGTGGGGACAACATGGGAAAGAATGGCTTACCTTTAGAATCCAGATAGGTGTCCTACTTGGTGTTTTTAAGTGCCTTGTTTTAACCTATTTTTAATGGTTTCTTGCTATTGCTATGTTGTTTCATTAAAAAATTTGTGGGGGATATATTAAGCGTTTCCTTTTATTCTGTATTTCATAATTCCAGAATACCAAATCCGTGAGGGATATTGTCATTTTTATGACAGTATCTTGCTAATGTAACTTGTACTTTTTTTATTGGTAGCTAATAATTGGCTAAATATTTGCTGTGGAAATCCTTAATAGCCTCAGTAGAACATGATTTCTCTAGAGAAATTGTGTATTTGCTTCTTCTGGGTGTCAGAGACACTATCAAGCTTTAAATATTTTCCTAACTTGTGATTTCCATTTTCCATGATCATCCAAATAATAAAAATTCAAACCTCAAGACAACTTAAAGTCAGGCTTTTTTTGTTATTGCTGTTATTATTAGCTTGTTATTATTAATAATTCTTTTCCTAGGTTATGGTACAGGCAGACACTTTTCTTTATAAAGCCCTTACCATGCCTAGCAAGTTGAATTTTGTTCTAGTCTACCTATTCACCTATTGAGAATATACAATTTTTTTTGTAGGTTCAGGTTTGTTGTCCACTGACATGGGCTCAAACCAAGGTTCAAAAGTGCTGTACATTCCAGAGTCCATGTTTGTTTGCTATTCTACTCTGAAGTCACATTCTTGCTACTCTTTTTTTTTTTTTTTTTTTTGAGGGGTGGGGGCTGAGTAGTATTTGGAGTTTTCTCTTGCTTTACAAGATCTTCTGGGCATATAAAATTATTTTTATTGACATTTATCCTGTATGTGATACAGCAGGTGGATTTTCATATTATCTCAACCATCATATTTCTAGAAGTAGAGGTCTTAAGTGATATTTTGACAAATATTGAGTAATTATTACTTCAAGACTGATGGTTAGAGTCAATGCCTAAAGAAATACCTAGAAAACTATTGTTACACAGCCAATTGCATAGAAACCACATGGCTTAAGGATCCAGTTAAGAACAGGGTTAACATGATTTTATTAATGACAAGCCTAACTAGCAAATCTACCTGAGAAGTCATTTACTCACTTAAGTCTGAGTTGAGCTAAGACACTATATGCTGAATGCATCATAATAATCCCCAGATAATTATTTTGCATGAAATTCAGATTGCATAAGAACATCCTCAAGCAAAGCACTGCAATTTTAGTTTTATACTTTTAAGCCCATCCCAACACCAATTATGACATGAGGATTCTCACACAGTCTTTTTCAAAATAGTCTTAATAAATCATTCTATTAAAAAAATGGTTTAGTTACTGCTGTCAGCTGTGACCTCCAAAGACAAAATATTCTCAAAAGGATTACACAGGATGTGCTAATGGTTAATAACTACATGAAAAGATAGTCAACAACATTAAAACCACAACGATATACTATTTTACACACACTAAATGACTATGTTAGAAAACAGTTTGATAGTTTCCTAGAAAGTTAAACCTAGTTTTACTATATGGTGTATCAATTTAATTTTCTTTGGGTATGTGAATACCCAACATATTCACATGAGAACTGTACACTAATGCTCTCAGTAGCATTATTCATAATAAGTATGAATAAACTTGAAAAATATTATGTAAATTAAAAAGTCAGGCAAAAATGACCATCTATTTTGTTGTACCATTTATAAGAAATGACATGAAATCTGGAATCTATAGAGACAGAAAGGAAAATAGTGGTTACCTGGGGTGAGAGTTGAGGGAGGTGGGAAGAGATTGACAATAAGTAGGCTGGATGGATTTTACTGGATGATAGAAATGTTTGAAAATGGATTTATTTTAATGTTTGCACTGCTTGGTAAATTTACCTAAAAACTGAATTATATACTTGAAATTCATGAATTATAGGATATTACCTGTAAAAAAAATGAAATAGGTTATATGTTTATCATTTTAAAAAGTATCTCATAGTTGCAACATATCTATCCAAAATATTCACTTCTAAAATAATTAATTTTAGATTATTTCTTTATAGTGATTCTTTAGTAGCATCATTTGCCCGTTTTGACAGAAAATACACAATTTACTCTAAAGTCTTTTTTTCCCAAACGTGAGTGTGATTGTTTCTATGCCACTTATTTAACAATGGTGTCAGATACTTAATAAGTAAAAAAGAATGTGCACCTAAAGAAAATTTAATATTGACCAAAAAAACCTTTTGAAGCCTCAATAAGATTATTTTTACCATCTTTGTTTTGCATGAGTACTAAGGTACAGTGATTAAACTACCGATTATTGAGTCTTTTTAATAATCTGGTTAGCATAAATAAAGAAAATTGAAAAATCATAATAATATCACTTTTGGTTTTCTGGCATATGAGTCTAAAAGCTGTATTTAAAATGATTAGTTGAATAATCTGAACTTGAAATGTGTAAAACACCTGGGTGTTACAAAATCTGGATGACATACTTCCCAAACAAGAGCTTAAAAGTTTGGGACAGTAATAATTTTAGTAAAACTCGATGAATGTAACATCTCTAAGTATGGATAGATAAATAATCTAGACACAATCATCTATTTTTATCAAGTGAATAAAACATTATCATCCTCGAGAATTACACACAAATTGATCCTTAAGATGTGTGAGGAGGAATTTAATATGGATTGAAATATTCTAGAAAGTCTATCTGACCTAGAAGTAATGCATCAATTAATATTGCTGAATGGGCTTGGCCCTATCCCAGAATGTAGTTCCATTGGCAAAATACGCCATGCAGTTAGGTGTTTAATCTTATTTGGGTCAAATTAGAGCAGAGGGAACCTGATCAATATTCCTCTTGCAGACACAGGCAAAAATGACCAACCCAAAAAATGATTATCAGTGACTGTCAGTGGTAAAATAATTTCAGTATAGTTATGATTTCCTTTAGAAATGTTCTCTAATCATCAAGTTTTAAAACTATTCTTTTGTCAAGAGGTAGTTAATGCTAAAATTTAGACTGAATGATCTCGAGTGGGATACAATGATTTTATATTGTTGATTTAAAAAAGAACAATAAATATTAGAAATAAGACCAAAGTTTGTACTGAAATCTAAGTAAGTTTGCACAAATTGAGGATTATCCTGAATCTCATAAGGAGTCCACAGGAATTTCATGGGGAAAATTATCATATTTTCAGGGAAAATAGCTCTGTACATTTTACATTCTCTTGGCAAATGATTGACTGATGTCCCAGAGTTCTCTGTCATACAGTCGATAAAGAGCTGAAAGTCATCAGCTAGCTGTCTTAACACTGTGAAGCAGATTTATTGTGACTACTGAGAAACATCATATTTTAATGGGAACTTCATTGATCTAGCAGAATGTGTTTATAGCAAAATAAGTAAATCAATAGATAAATTTTTCACACATAATTACATTTCAACACCCACTGCAATGCAGGTAAATGAAATCTCAAGATAATTATTTAAATTTTGTTGGATTGATCTTTCTAGTAACAATTATTTTTAAAAATCAGATTTTTAAAAATTTTCTTGATTTGGTTAACATTGTGGTAGTTAATCTAGAAGACAATCCTTCCTACCCAGTGAACCACACTTCCTAGCGTTCATTTCCTTGTAAATTCCCTTTCCTCCCTCTTTAGATCTAGGCTGGCCCTATAATAGAGTGCAGCAAAAGTGGCACTGATTTTTCTGGTTATAAGATTATAGGAAAAATTGTTGGCTCTTGCTTTAGTCTTTTGGAAACTTCACTCTGGGGAAAGCTGGCCACCATGCAAGATGTCCAATAGCTTTGAGATTGCCATGTTTTGAGAAAGCCCACAGGAAGGGGCTGCCTAAAGACAAAAAAGCTTCCTCGGCCTACAGCTATTCTTGTCATTCCAACCCAAACATCAGACACGTAAGTAAAGAAATCTTGAGATATCTACAATGCTAGCCATTATCTGACTAAAACCACATAGAAAACCACAATCAAGAAGTCAACTGAGCTCAATCTACAAATTTGAAAGAAGTAATATTTTTTGCTTTAAGATACAGTTTTGTGACAGTTTGTTATGTAACAAGAGATAACTAGAACCATCAATAGCACACATGACTATTCTGGTGCTGACAGTTGAGAAGACCACAAATATTTGTGGTGCATTCATTTAGATGCAAGCACACTACAAGAGATGTTAGAATTTAATCCTTTTCAGTTGCTTATCAGCACTATGATCTGCCAAGTAATAAAGAGGACAAGAGAATATCAATGAACTGGAAATAAGAACATGCACTATATAAAAACACTATCATATACATGTAAGTAATAAAAAATATGTAAATTAACTCAGAAAAGTGTACTTGTGAAGTTCCTTAGAATCCATACAGGCCATATTTTCACATCTGATTCATAAATGTTGCATATAATATTCAGTTCTACTACTGACCTCAAGTGATAGAAAATTTGTAGTCTCTCATAGCAGGCAGCACATGCCATATTTTATATATTTGTCCAAGCCTCTCTCCCCAAATCTGACATTACTTAGATCTTTACATGAAAGCGAGTATAAAAGTAGAGTAGGTGAATCATGTGAAGACTGAAAAACTCTGGTTTGAAATTATTTGGGCTAATTTTTTTTTTCAAGTGTACCATGGAAATAGAGCCTCGTGGTCTTGCAGAAAGTAAATATACCACTTAAGGGAGAAATAAATGCAGCATGTTTACAGACACAGTAGAAAGAGAAAACAGCAAGTAAAGAAATTTATTTCCTTTTTGATGTACTGAAGAGTTCACAGATACATCAGAAATCTACTCATATTTTGTCAATATAATTTTAACGCATACACTGCCATTATACATGTTTAAAAATGTGTGTGTGTACATTCTTGTGTGTATGAATCACATATAACCAGAGCCTGCGTAAATCTTTTATAGTTAAAGAAACTAAAATTAGATGGAAATGTAAAAATTTCCACTTAAATGTGATAGACATTATAAGAACATTTACGTGTGAATAGATATATTATGCATTTTAATAAAATATGTTGGAAATCATAAAATGCTATACTTTTGTGTAGGAAATGCACACATAGAAAATACAATTTAGCCTGTTAGGCATTCTCATTTTTGTTTTTCTTGAGCTTAAATATGAGCTCTCTGGCACGCAACAGAAACAACAGAAGGAGACGGGGTAAAGATTAGGTCATTCCCAGCCATCATGTTCTGAATTCTCTTTTTGTTTCAGTGCCATTATTAGCTTTTCTTTGTAATTTCCTCTCTTATTCTAAATTGCCTCAATTTCTATTAAGTGGATTTTCCAGTCTGCATTATCAATTTGATAGACAAAAGAATTATAGACTCAGTTCATATAAATATCTGATGAAAATTCTCTCAGATAACTCTCCAATAAATTACCTTGAAAATGTTTCTGTAGAATTAAAAAGTAAACATCTGATAAATACAAATAAACATCCGATAGAACTGAATATCATATAGTACCATTTTTATATTTGTCAGTAGTGACAACAAAACAAAATCTCAACAAAATTACAATAGATTTATAGAAATGAAGTTGGCAAAATTGAAAAACTTTGATCATTGCTAAACTCTTAGATTAACTTTTCTGGAACATTATCAATAGATTATTTTAAAGAGAAAGTTTGAATTTTTACAGGTATATCACCATCGCCAGATATATAATTTTTATTTGAACACTGCATGACAGTGAAAGTATGGTTGCTCTTTATACTAAATCAAAAATATTTCACAAAATCAGTATAATATACTCTTTTTCTTCACTAAAGGGAAGTGATACTGCTTCAAGACTAACATTACGAGAGAAGAAAAATTCTAGACATCTTGTTGATTACATAAGAGTATTTAGCTACCAGATAAAAATATTGAATAAAGTTACTTAGCCAGAGGGAGGAAAAGAATGGCAAAGTTATCCAGTAGTATTCTTCCCACGGTTCAGATTTGTTGGGTATGTTGATTTTTGTTGTTTTTGTTAAAAGTGGTTTATAACAAGGCTTTAATGAAGCTGTCACGCACTCTACTCTATTTTCAATTGGAAGCATGTGGTGTCATTTAGATCTTTTTTTCCCCCTTAGATTACTTGGAAAACATTCAGCATTTGATTGCTTTTAATCAAGAAAACGAGGCACATTTGCTAAATCTTTTGATTAATCTGATTTTGATAAACATCCATGAGCAATTAAGAGTCTTAATCCTGAAGTCAAAGTTAGCAGAACTTGGGATATGAAATATTAGATATATAAAATACTACCCAGTTTATTTCATTGAAGAAAATCAGGATGATATAAAATTAAAATAAAACAATACGTTGAGAGAAAATAATACTGATTTCTCAACAAAGTTATCATCCAAATTTTTTCTGGATTGGGACAAAACTAATACTCTTTAAATTCTATATTTAATAAGCATGAGCATGAAATGCACATATATATATATATACAAAAAGATATACAAGACAGCAGAATTTTAATACAACTATGAGTCAGAGTTATGAATTAAATTGACTGTGGTATTCTAAAGAAGCATAACCTAAAACATTCAGAAGAGAAATAATGTGGGTCTTAAAAGTAGAAGTAACTACCTAACAAATTTTGCTTTCAAATTAGAGTAGTGAGAATTAATGTTTATCATAATATTACAACCACTATGGAAAACAGTGTGGAGATTCCAAAAAGAACTAAAAGTAGATCTACCATTCGATCCAGCAATCCCACTATTGGGTATCTACCCAGAAGAAAATAAGTCATAATATGAAAAGGACTTGCACACGTGTTAATAGCAGCACAATTAGCAATTGAAAAAAATATGGAATTAACCCAAATGCCCATCAATCAATGCATGGATAAGGAAAATGCTCTCTCTCTCTCTCTCTCTCTCTCTATATATATATATACACCATGGAATACTACACAGCCATAAAAAGGAGCAAAATAATGGCATTTGTAACAACCTGGATGGAATTGGAGACTATCATTCTAAGTGAAGTAACTCAGAAATGGAAAACCAAACATTGTATATACTCACTTGTAAGTGGGCCTAAGCTTTGAGGACACAAAGGCATAAGAATGACACAACGGACTTTGGAAGGGTGAAATGGGGGTGAGAGAGAAAAGACTACACATTGGGTACAGCGTACACTGCTCAAGTGATGGGTGCACCAAAATCTCAGAAATCACCACTAAAGAACATATCCATGTAACAAAACACCACCTGTTCCCCAAAAACCTATTGAATTTTTTTTTTTTTTTAAAGAAACTGAGATAACCTGGAAGACAGTCAGGGTGTGAGCCACCCCTTTGCTGATGAAGACAATAACAGATCAGCTGGTTGTGGAGCTGGCACCACCCCACTCTGCTTGGGAATTTGTTGCTGGAAGAGCAGCTTGGAGTTCACCTCTTCAAGTCTCCCAACAGTCATAAAATCTTATGTAATACTCCAGTGATAAAACTGTTTCTCTCTAAACCAGCTAGATTCTTTTTCCTCTGCAGTAAAACCTGATCTTCCCAGAAATTAGTTTTTTTTTTTTTTTTGGTTATTTCTCCACCAAACAATGTGTCATGATACTCAACGTTTCTCTAGAAAGTGGGTTGGGGAATAGAATTTTACTTCTTTATGATTTTCAAAATAGCATGATTATAGATATTTTAAGCTTTTTTAGATTTTTCAGAATTTTCAAAACAAAATGGAAAATATATTGTTTTTTGACCCCCCCCTCCACCCACCCACCCACACACACACACACACACAAAGGGTCAGGGCCCAGTTTTACTCACGTCAAGTTTGAGATACCTATTAAAAATTCAAGTGAGTAGGCAATTGGTAAATATAAAATTTTCAGCATGTAAGCGGCATGTAGATGGTGATATGCAAGTGGAGTGAGTATTCTGAGTTCCTGTCTCTAAAGGTGCTCAAATAGAAGGGAGGTGAACAATTAAAAGTGTAGGTAATATTGTTACATAGATTGCAATTCTGATTTGCGTTGGAATAAATTACCTCTGTGATTCCAGAATATGATCCCACAGGAAATGATGTTGTGTCCAGAATTTGTGGTTCTTGGTCTTGGTGACTTCAAAAATGAAGCTGCAGACCCTTGGACCCTCGCAGTGAGTGTTACAGTTCTTAAAAGATGGTGTGTTCGGAGTTTGTTCCTTCAGATGCTCAAATGTGTCCGGAGTTTATTTCTTCTGGTGAGTTCGTGGTCTCCCTGGCTTCAGGAGTGAAGCTGCAAACCTTCGCGATGAGTGTTACAGCTCTTAAAGGCGTCGCGTCTGCAGTTGCTAGTTTTTTCTGGTGGGTCGCTGGTCTCACTGGTTTTAGGACTGAACCTGCAGACCTTAGCGCTGAGCGTTACAGCTTATAAACGCAGCAGGGATCCACAGAATGAGCAACAGCGAGACTCATTCCTGAAGAGCAAAAAAAAACGCAAAAAATCAACGCTCCCACATCACGGATAGGAAATCTGAGTAGGCTGACTCTGCTGGCTGGGGTGGCCCGCTTTTATTCCCTTATCTGGTCCCACCCACATCCTACTGATTGGGCCATTTTACAGAGAGCTGATTGGTCCATTTTACAGAGAGCTGACTGGTTCGTTTTGACAGAGTGCTGATTGGTGTGTTTACAAACCTTTAGCTAGACACAGAGTGCTGATTGTTGCGTTTACACTCCTTTAGCTAGACAGAAAAGGTCTCCAAGTCCCCACCGGTCCGAGAAGCCCAGCTGGCTTCATCCTTCAGTGGCACTCGCCTAGGGACTTTGCAGCACCTAGCCTGGGCAGTCCGGCAGCCCAGAGGGAGCTGGTCCCCTAATCAAGCCCAGCAGGCGCCCGCCGGCCGGCGGCGCTGAGTGCCGGCCCGCGGGGCCGCGGAACCCTGGCCCACCCAGAACCTGCGCAGAGCCACAAGGGCCGTGCACAGCCCCGGCTCCCGCCCGCGCCTCCCACTCCACACCCCCCCCGCCAGCAGAGGGAGCCGGCTCCAGCCTCGGCCAGCCCCAGAGAGGGGGCCCCCACGGAGCAGCAGGGGGCCCCCACGGAGCAGCAGCGGGCCAAAGGGCTCCTCAAGCCGGCCAGAGCAGACGCCAAGGCCGAGGAAGCGCCCAGAGTGAGCAAGGGCTGCTAGCACGTTGTCATCTCTCAATGTCTCAGCAAACTAACACAGGAACAGAAAACCAAACACCGTATGTTGTCACTCATAAGTGGGAGTTGACGGTGAGAACACATGGACACAGGGAGGGGAACATCACACACTGGGGCCTGTTGGGGGTTGCGGGGCAAGGGGAAGGAGAGCGTTAGGACAAATACCTAATGCATGCTGTGCTTAAAACCTGAATGACGGGTTAATAGTTGCAGCAAACCACCATGGCACATGTGTACCTATGTAACAAATCTGCACATTCTGCACATGTATCCTGGAACTTAAAAAAAAAAAAACGAAATCTTCATAGATCATCTTACCACCATTACGATACAATTTTATGGAAAAACAGAACTCAAGGGAGTTAAGAGTCTTTCTAATGGGCAAACATCTTGTTAGTGGCTTTTATGAAATTCAAACTTAGGACATTTTTAGTGTGTGCCTTTTACATTGCACCATGAACCAAATTGTTTCCCTTGAGACACTTTAGGATGATTTCAGATTTTCATTAAGTAATAAAATTTAGCCCGTTTATTTTCTTAAAATAGACAACTGTAAGTTAGACTTTTGCTTAAGACGTAAGAATATTTCAACTCTGTTTTACAATGATATACTATTTATCAACCTGCATTTAGAAAGCTAAACTAATTATATTAAATAGGACAGGAATTGAGCAGACAGAAGGAGACATTTGTTTAGATAATGTCTTGGTTGTGAGAGACAATTGCATTTCAAACATGTATATTTATTCTGTTGTGAGACAGCTATAATATTTTTGGTTCCAAAATGTGTGAATTTTAATGAGACTACTAGTTTTCTTTTAATCTTGTGAGAAATGGACCAAATTATATATATGTTAAAAATTAGCTACCACTCTCTCAAAATATATTTTATAGAATATTGTAAACTCTAACAACTGTCACAAAACCAAGTGATGTTGATAGTAGATGCTCTTGGTATAATCTGATGAATATGATAATTCACCTCTATGCTCTTTGTATCAAAAACCCGTAACCCCTATCTGTAATGAGAAAAAACATATACAAATCTCAGTTGAGGGGCAGTATATGAAATAACTGGCAATTATTCCTCAAAACTGTGATTATTGAAAAGAAGGAAAGTCTGTGATACTATCACAGCCAAAAAGAGGCTAAGGAGACACGACGATTACATGTAATATGGAATCTTGGATGGGATTCTGGAACAGAAGAAGGGAATTGGGTAAAAATGAAAAGAGCTGAATGAAATATGGTTTGATTTAATAACTGTATCAATATTCTATCACTAATTGTGACAAATGTATCATACTCTTGTAAAATGTTAATAAAAGTGAAAATTGGGTGTTAGGTATACGAATTTCCTCTGTACTATCTGTTCAAATTTTTAGATAAACCTAAACTCATTCTACAAAAAAAGTTCATTTTTTAAAGATGACAAATCTATGAAAACTATATTATTACTCAAAATCTGACAAAATTTATGTTAAGTTATATTTTGCCTGTGTGTATCATATTCAAGACACTGTGGTAAGTGCAGTGTACATAAGGTGAATAAAAAGTAGGCCCTCCGAGGAAGATATACAGATACATGAAAAGAAGTTTAACATCATGAATCATTTGGAAAATGGGAATAATAACTACAGTGAGATATTACTATACAGACAATAAAATTGTTAAGATAATGGGATCTTTATCTCCTGTAGCAAGCTGCTGGAAACTACACCAGTGTTTAACAAGTGAATTAATAAATAAGTTGTGTTGTAGACTTACAATGGAGTACTACTCAGCAATAAAAATTAATATGCAGTTGTGACATGGAACAACATAGTTGAATCTCAAAATAATTATGCTGTGTTAAAAAAGCCAAATGCAAAGAGTATACACTATATAATCCTTTTTTTTTTTTTTTTTTTTTTTTTTCAGATGGAGTCTGGCTCTGTCGCCCAGGCTCGAGGGCTCCAGTACAGTGGTGCAATCTCAGCTCACTGTAATAACTGCCTTCCGGGTTCAAGCGATTCACCTGCCTCAGCCTCCCCAGTAGCTGATATCACAGGTGCGCACCACAATGCCCTGCTAATTTTTATATTTTTAGTAGAGACAGGTTTTCTCCATGTTGGCCAGGCTGGTCTTGAACTCCTGACCTCAAGTGACCCGCCCCTCTTGGCCTCCCAAGGTACTGGAATTATAGGCGTGAGCCACCATGCCAGGCCCTATAATTCCTTTTCTATACAATCTGGAATATACAAATTAATTTATGGTGACAGAGAGCCAATCAGGAGTTGCCTAGGAATTAGGTTGGCTTTTAGAAATGAGATGGAAGATTTGCAAAGAGGCACAAGAAAACTTTTGGGGTGGTGAATAAGTTTACTATTGTGATTGTGGTGATAATTTCATGGGTGGATGCATATCCATCTATGTCAAACTCATCAATTTGCACACTTGAAATATGCATAGTTATCATATGTCAAGTATACCTCCATAAGGCTGTTTTTTTTTTTAAAAAAAAAGCATTTTGGAGCCTAATATAATAGCATAAGATAAAAATAAATATTTAGAAACTGTCCTTTAAAAAGTATTATATTCTATTTTAATCTAATGGTTGCAATAATATAATTTCTTGGTATTTTGTATTTTCAATTTTTAAATTAGAATTTCCAATTTTTAAATTAGAAATCACTTCCTCAATTTTAATCTCTTCTTCCAGGCCACAGAGCTAGAATTTGGCACAGGCAGTACAAAACTCTAGATACACTGACTCCCAGTAGTGTTCATTCCACCAAACCCAGACACCCAAGTTCAGGGGTGACTGCATAGTTGTTTCCATCGATATTGGCAGACATGAACACTAGGATAACATTCCAAAGGATGTACAGAAAATATTGAACCTATGTGGAAGGAAACTTAGTACATCATTACCTGTACAGCCCTGACCTTTCATTTAAATAGCTTTATTCACAATTCTATAGCATAGTTTTAACAAAAATCCAATTTAATTATGTTTACAGCTAATAGCCACGTCTTTAAAAGATGGCAATATTATTAACCTTCTCTCCAGTGTCCCTAACTAGATGCAAATTCACAGTTATACATTCATTTGTACCTAATAAGCCTATATAAAATGTTTGGAAAATGAAAAGAAAACCGAGAAGAACTTTGTGTACTATGTTCATCTGCAAGTTCCAGTTTTCTTATCAGCCCCCTGGGTTCATCAGAATGCGATTCATTGCATATTTTCCGTAATTTAAATATTCTGAAAACAGTTTTTTTTTTGTCTTTGTGATAGATGGTTTCTTTCAAAATTGATAGTTGCCTGTAAGGAAATATAACATCAAATTCTAGTTTTATTATTCTTAGACATTTAATCAGGTTAACGTATATCCCAATAGCATTGAACATAAAGTTTTTTTTCACTAACACTCTGTAAATCATGTAGTTATTCAAGAAAATACAATAATGTTCTTAAAGAAGTTATAGCTGAGACATTCAGTACTTTATGTCTACTTGGCTTATGCAACGGAAATGCTGGTGTTGATGTTAATTAAATGTATTTTTCTCCCAGGCATAGCAGTTCCAAAATTTGATGTAAAATTTTTACCTTTTCCATAATTAATAGTTTCAGAAAAAAATATTATTCTGCAATTCACAGTCCCTATTTAGAGAAGAAAAAGCTTAAAATAAATGTATACAATTAAGTTATGTAAACATTAACATATGCATATTTTATATTTTATTATAGTGTTGTAAACACTTTATTCTGTTTAGACAATGCACACTTAAACCATAAAAGTTTTCCAATATGAACAGAATTAATGAAATGTTTACATTGATTATTTTAAAATTAAAATCCACATTAAACGTTGTTTAAATTGGTATATCTTGTCTTGATAATAAGTAATTTAATTAAAACTGGTTAATCTCTTGAAGAAATAAGATTAGACATTTAGAAACCTCTTGACAATATCAGACACTTCCTCAAGATCACATTGCCAAAATGTGGCATAGGCAGTACTAAAATTCACATAATTTCTACAGTTATAATTTGCTGCACAACCTGGAGAAATAAACTGAGAAATTTATGCTTACCAATCTAGGTATTCATTTTAAAGTCATTGAAATAGTATATGTCTTCAAATAATGTGGAAACAAAATGTTTCAGAAATATAAATTAGAAATGTGATTGTGACTGAAATCAGTTTACCTTTAGTCACATTGTGATACTGATTAATGTTAATCATGTTAGATTAATTAATGACTGAGATATATACAATGTTAATAGGAAATAATACGCAAGAACTAATTATTTACATAGCACAATAAGACATTGACTTTCTTTTTTTAACTTTTATTTTAAGTTCAGGGGTACATCTGCAGATTTGTTACATAGGTAAACTCATATCACAGGGGTTTGTTGTATAGATTATTTTTTCAACCAGATATTGAGCCTAGTACCCACTGGTTATTTTTCCTGATCCTCTCCCTCCTCCTACCTTTTACCCTCAGGTAGGCCCCAGTGTCTGTTGTTTCCCTCTGTGTGTCCATGTGTTCATTTTATTTAGTTCTCACTTATAAGTGAGACCTTGTGGTATTTGGCTTCCTGTTCCTGCATTAGTTTGCTAACAATAATGGCCTGCAACTTCACCCATGTTCCTGCAAAGAACATGATCTCATTCTTTTTTTGGCTGCATAGTATTCCATGGTGTATATGTCTCAAATTTTCTTTAGCCAGTCTACCATTGATGGGCACTTATGTTGATTCTATGTCTTTGCTATTGTGAACACTGCTGCAATGAACATACATGTGCCTGTGTCTTTATGATAGAACAGTTTATATTCCTTTGAGTATATAAGTAATGGGATTGCTGGGTCAAACGGCAGTTCTGCTTTTAGGTCTTTTAGGAATCACCACACTGTTTTCCACAATCACAAACAACGTGTAAGTATTCCTTTTTGCTCTATAGCCTCACCAGCATCTGTTATTTTTGACTTTTTAATAATAGCTTTTCTGACTGGTGTGAGATGGGATTTCATTGTGCTTTTGATTTGCATTTCTCTACTGATCAGTAATGTTGAGCTTTTTTTTTTTTCATATCCTTGTTGGCCCCATTTAGGTCTTCTTTTGAAGAGTGTCTGTTCGTGTGTCTGTTTTTGTACCAGTACCATGCTGTTTTGATTACTGTAGCCCTGTAGTATAGTTTGAAGTCAGGTAGCATGATGCCCCTTGCTTTGTTCTTTTTGCTTAGGATTGCCTTGGCTATTTGGGCTCTTTTTTGGTTCCATATGCATTTTTTAATAGTTTTCTCTAGTTCTGTGAAGAATGTCATTGGTAATTTGATAGAAATAGCGTTGAATCTATAAATTGTTATAGGCAGTATTGCCATTTTAACAACATTAATTCTTCCTACCCATGAGCATGCAATGTTTTTCCGTTTGTTTGTGTCATATCTGATTTCTTTGAACAGTGTTTTTTACTTCTCATTGTAGAGATGTTTTATTTCTCTGGTTAGTTGTATTCCTGGGTATTTTATTCTTTATGTAGTAATTGTGAATGAGATTGCATTCCTGACTTGGCACTCAGCTCAGTTGTTGTTAGTGTATAGGAATGCAATTAATTTTTGTACATCGATTTTGTATCCTGAGATATTGATGAAGTTGTTTATCAGCTTAAGGAGGTTTGGGGCTGAGACAATGAGGTTGTCTAGATGGAGAATCATGTCATCTGCAAACAGAGATAGTTTGACTTTCTCTTTTCCTATTTGGATGCCCTTTATTTCTTTCTCTTGCCTGATTGCTCTGGCCAGGATTTCCATTACTATGTTGAACAGGAGTGGTGAGAGAGGGCATCCTTGTCTTGTGCTGGTTTTCATGGGGAATGCTTCCAGCTTTTGATTATTCAGTATGATGTTGGTTGTGAGTTTGTCATACATGGCTCTTATTATTTCATGGTATATTCCCTCAATACTTTATTGAGAGTTTTTTAAATGAAATAGTGTTGAATTTTATCAAAAGCCTTTTCTGTGTCTATTAAGATAATCGTGAGGTTTTTGTCTTTAATTCTGTTTGTGGGATGAATCAAATTTATTGATTTGCATATGTTGCAGCAACCTTGCAATCCTGGGATACAACCTATTTGATCATGGTGGATAAGCTTTTTGATGTGCTGCTGGATTTGGTTTGCCAGTATTTTGTTGAGGATTTTTGCATTGATGCTCATTGGTGGATATTGGCCTGAAGTTTTCTTTTCCTGTATCTCTGCCAGGTTTTGGTATCAGAATGATACCTCATAAAATGACTTAGGGAGGAATCCATCCTTCTCTTTTTTTTTTTAAAGTAGTTTCAGTAGGAATGGTACTAGCTCTTTTTTGTACATCTGGTAAAACTCAGCTATGAATTGACCTGGTCCTGCGCTTTTTTTGGTTGGTAGGTTATTTATTACTGTTTTAATTTTGGAGATCACTGTTGGTGCATTTAGGGATTCGATTTCTTCCTGGTTCAGTCTTGGGAGGGTGTATGTGTCCAGGAATGTATTCTTTTCTTTTCGATTTTCCAGTTTGTGTGCATAGAGGTGGTCATAATATTCCCTGATGGCTATTTGTACTTCTGTGGGGTCAGTGGTAATATACCTTTTGTCATTTCTAATTGTGTTTATTTGAATCTTCTCTCTTTTCTTTATTAGTCTAGATAGTGATCTAACTATTTTATTACTTTTTTTTTCAAAGAAACAACTCCTGGATTTGCTGATCATTTAAGTGATTTTTCATGTCTCATTCTCTTTCAGTTCAGCTTTGATTTTGGTTATATCTTGTCTTCTGCAAGCTTTGGTGTTGATTTGCTTTCGGTTCTTGAGTTCTTTTACTTGTGTTGTTAGGGTCCTAAATTGAAGTCTTTCTAATTTTTTGATGTTAGGGCATTTAGTGCTGTAAATTTTATTTTTAACACTGCCTTAGCTGTGTCCAGGGATCCTGGTATGTTCTATCTTTGTTTTCATCAGTTTCAAAGAACTTCTTGCTCTCTGCCTTAATTTCATTATTTACCCAAAAGTCATTCGAGAGCAGGTTATTTAATTTCAATGTAAGTGTCTGGTTTTGAGCAATTTTCTTAGTCTTGATTTCTAATTTTATTCTGCTGTTGTCTGTAAGAGTGTTTGGTATGATAACTTTTGCATTCACTGATGATTATTTTATATCTGATTATGTGGTTGATTTTAGAGTATGAACCATGTAGTGATGAGAAGAATGTATAGCTTGTTGTTTTTGGATGGAAAATCCTGTAGATGTCTATCAGGTCCATTTGATCCAGTACTGAGTTCAGGTCCTGAATATCTTTGTTAATTTTCTGCCTTGATGATCTGTCTAATACTGTTAGTGGTATGTTGAAGTATCCCATTATTATTGTGTTTGAGTCTAAGTCTCTTTAATGGTCTGTAAGAACTTTCTTTATGAATCTGAGTGCGCCTGTGTTGGGTGTATATATATATTTAGTATAGTTAGGTCTTCTTATTAAATCAAATGCTTTATCATTATGTATTGCCCTTCTTTGTCTTTTTGAAAATCTTTGTTGGTCTAGAATCTGTTTTGTCTAAAATAAGATTACAACCCCTGCTTTTTTCTGTTTTCCATTTATTTGGTAGATTTTTCTCTACTCCTTAACTTTGAGCGTATGGTTGTCACTGCATGTGAAATGGGTTTCTTAAAGATGGCATACGGTTGCTGTCTTGGATTTTTATCCAGCTTGCCACTCTGTGCATTTTAACTGGGGCATTTAGCCCATTTACATTCAAGGTTAGTATTGATATGTGTGGATTTGATCCTATCATCATGATGTTAGCTGGTTATTATGAAGACTTGTTTGTGGATGCTTTATAGTGCCACCTGGTCTGTGTACTTACCTGTGTTTTTGTAGTGGCGGGTAATGATATTTCCTTTCCATATTTAGTGCTTCCTTCTGAAGCTCTTGTGAGGCAGGTCTGGTGGTAATGAATTCTCTCAGCATTTGCTTGTCTGGAATGGATCTTATTTCTCCTTTACTTAAGAAGCTTAGTATGGCCAAATATGAAATTGCTGGGTTCCTGGCAGGGGCAGGGCTGGTGACTGTGTGCCTGCTAAGGCTCTGACTGCAATGGTGATAAGGTGGGAGTTGAGGAGAGAAGTGCACTCCCACCAGCAGCAGTGGCAGGGCAGGGTGCATGCACACATGCATGCTGGTGGGGCAGAGAAGGCAAAATCCACCTGCCTATACACATGCTGACAAAATGATGTGCAGGGTGACTGTGGCCCGGGGGGTAAGCTGCAGCAGAGGAGAGAGTGAGCAGGCTGGTGTATGGCTGCAAGGGTTGCCCTGCTGGAGCTCTCAGCTGATCAAGTACTGTCTTCTAGCAAAGAAGCTATGATGCAGGTCCCCAGGGAACCTGAGGCTGCACTGCAAGCAGGTTCAGCCAGGCTGTGGCCCCAGGAGAGACCCACAGACCAAGGCTGCTCAGGTTGGACTGGCCCCTGAGGGGCAAGGCTGCTCTGCACAGTTCAGTCCAATAGTTCCCCTAGAGCTAAATTCTCCTATGGGAACCAGTCAAGCCAAGGGGGATGGATGTCCTCGGCCATGCTCCAGTAGGGATGCTCCCATGGCAAACCCTCCTCGCTCTTCAACAGCTGGTCAGCTGCCCCTACTACTTGTCTAAGGAGCTCTCCCTGCCAACTCAATTATCTCTGGTGGTCAAGGGGTCTCCTCCTTCCAGGGTTCCAGAGTGCAGAGGTGTAAGTAGGTTGTTCTTTGCCAGTTCTCCAGGAATTATTGGGAGCCAGCAATGAGTACCAGTGCACAGTAGCCCCGTCCAGGGCTCCCGACTTCCTCCTCCTTCACCCAGCTTCTGTATCTTCCCTCTGTCCACTCTCAGTGCTTTCCATCTGAAGATCTGTTAGAAGTGCCGCCAGTCATCCTGGTCCTTCCATGGCAGCTGTTCCACCTGGCTGCATAGAGACAGCCATCTTGGCCCCAGATATTTTCTGAATTGTGCAATTTGAAATTTCAGTAGCATTGCTTCTTGAGAAATGTGTCATCTAACCATATTTTACTTCTTTCTGTGGGGGCTGGGAGTGCAGGGACTTCTTCTGTCACCCAGGCTGGAGCACAGTGGCACGATTATAGCTCACCGCAGCCTCGAATTCGTGGGCCTCCCAAGTAGCTGCGACTACAAGAGTGCAGCACCATGCCTGGTTATTTGTTAGTTCTTTTTGTATATCTTTTAGAGGTGGGGTTTTACCATGTTGTCCAGGTTGGGCTTGAACATCTGAACTCAAGTGATCCACCAGCCTCAGCTTCCCAAAGTGCTGAGATTACAGGCGTGAGCCACCACCCTGGCCTATTTCTTCATAATAAATTACTTGATCGTTTGGTATTTTTGTTTGTTTTTGTAACCACAGTATTTATCCAGTACCTTTGATTTATGTATTTTACATTAGACACCCAGGATTTTTCTTAACACTCCTAACTGGCTTCAAGTATAATCTGAATATCTTTCAACACAAATGTATTCCCTCTTCTTACTAACACTAATGCCTTACCCCTAATTAGCACATTAAATCATATCTTATTTTTACCTTGAGATAACTAAATTTATTAGTTTATAATTATTGTTATAAATCAGTATCTTATAGTGGGCTCTTCATATACTGCTAGCAGAGGAGAGAAACAATGGAGAAGGGAAAATGGTGAAGAATGGGATGTTTGAGAGTGCAGAACCATCTCTCATGTTTCATCTGTCTTAACTCATATCAGATTCATAGTGAACACGCACTCTGAGAATCATCTGAGGATGTGATTTTCTTTGACACTTTTAAAAACAGTCCTTACAAGTATTATAATCACACATTCATAGTGGTCAATATTTTAGTTTATTTCGTCAAGGGAAGGGGTTCCATGGCATTACCACATTCTAAAAGGCAACACAATAAAAAGAATAGATTAATATTTTTCTTGATAGTACAACAGGATCCATCCAAGTTATTTAGGTGCAATTCTACAATTTGTGTGTTGTAGAAATCTAGGGGATGCCATTCATGGATTCATACAGTTCATACAGTTTATGATCTATGAAGTTATATGGACGAGCTCTGTTCAAACACAGAACAAATAAGCTGTTAGATTTATTACTGTCCTTTTTAAGAAGTCATTCTGCCATCGCAAATTTAATAGCCAATCTAATTACTTTCTTCTACTTGTCCAATCAAAAATGTTCTGTGCTTCTCCCAACCCCAAATATGGACAGTAAGCTAGACCACTATCAATTCTTCAATGTTTGGCACTTACTGTATAAAAAAGGAAACGTGGCCCTCCTTGCTCTTTCTTGCAGCATCAAAGATAGAAGGAGAAATGAAGGAGGTGTAAGGTATTTGTTGCTATTTATGTCATTTATATAAGATGTTAACTCCACTAATCCCATATAATCTTTGATGCCAGCAACTCTTTAATGATTTAATTGACTAGCAAATAGTAGCAAAGAAAAAAAGAAAGAGTGAAAGGAATGAAGGGGAGGGATGGGGAAGGAGAGAGACAAGGATGCATTTAAATAAATATTTGTGTTTCATTTTTCAATATGATATCTTACATAAGTAATATATCCTCTCAATCAAATACATACAAAAGAGTAGGCACTGAATTAATGGCTTGAACACAGCACAAACAATGTGTACTTGTCTCTGTGAAAGAGTTTATAATTTCAAGTACATGACTGATCACAGGACTTTTGAGTTTAACACATCTGAGATGAAATTTAATTTTCACCATTGAATCACCTCAGAAAATTTCCATATTCTCTCTAAGACCAATATTTGTCACTCAGACAGACTGACTGTAATAGTATCTTTCTTATAGGATAATTGTGGGAATTCAATGAGATAATACAAGTAGAACAATTAATATACTGCCTATCACATATGGAGGGTCCAAAAAGTTATAATTTCAGAACAAAGAAACTTAATTCTAACCAGAAACCACAATCATATCTAGAATATTTTTATGTCTGGACATAGTTATTTATTTATTTGGCAAATGTTTATTTAACATTGATATATCCAACATATTATGCTAAACAATGTGGATATTGTAGAAGATACTACAGTCTGAATAATAACATTTTGGTCAATGACATCACATATATGATAGTGGTCTCATAAAATTATAATTTTATTATAATATTATAATTTATTTTATTTTTATTGTACCCTTTTCTGTTTAGATACACAGATACAATTACGTTAAGTTCCCTAGAGTATTCAGTACAATAACTGGATTTACAGCCTAGGATCAATAGGCTATATCATATAGGCTAGGTAAGTAGTAGGCTCTACCGTTAAGGTTTGTGGAAGTATACTCTATGATGTTTGCACAAAACAACAACATCACCTAATGAGTCATTTCTCAGAATTATTCCTGTCATTAAGCAATGCATGACAATATAGATTTGCTGCCTACACTTACAAAGTTATATGCAAGTATATATATTTGTTTCTTATTCTTTTGTCACAAAGTACAATTTCAGCAGCTTAAAAACAATACTGATTCATGATCACACAGTTTTTGTAAGTCAAATGTCCCAAAAAGGCAGTGCTGAATTATCTACTTAAGTTATCATGAGTCTTAAAGCAAGTTGTCAGTCAGGCCAAGCTCTTCTCTGGATATTCTGGAGAACAATTGACCTTCAAGCTCTTTCAGGTTTCTGGTGGAGTCTAATTCCTTGTGGATATTAGATTGAGATTCCCATTTTCTTGCAGACTGTCAGTTCTCAGCTTCTCAAGAACGACCCTAAAGTCCTTATCATGTGTCTCCTCCTCAATCTCAGCAGTAAAGAACCCTTCTTACTTTCCAATTTTCTCTCATTTCCCTTAACAGTTGGAGAAACCTTTCTTCTTCTTCTTCTTCTTCTTCTTCTTCTTCTTCCTCTTCCTCTTCTTCTTCTTCTTCTTCTTCTTCTTCTTCTTCTTCTTCTTCTTCTTCTTCTTTTTTTTTTGACAGAGCCTTGCTTTGTCCCCCAGGCTGCAGTGCAGTGGCACAATCTCGGCTCACTGCAACCTCCGCCTCCTGGGTTCAAGCAATTCTCCTGCCTCAGTCTCCCAAGTAGCTGAGACTACAGGCACCCGCTACCACACCCGGCTAATTTTTGTATTTTTAGTAGAAACAGAGTTTCACCATATTGGCCAGGCTGGTCTCGAACTCCTGACCTTGTGATCCACCTGCCTCAGCCTCCCAAAGCACAGGGATTACAGACAAGAGCCACCGTGACTGGCCAAACCTTTCTTCTTTTAAAAGATTTGTGCGGTGATGTTAGGCCCCCTTGTCTTATATAATCCACCTAGGTTAAGGTCCACTGTGTCATATCACGTAACGTAATTGGCAGGGTAGAGTGAGAAATCTTCGGCCATCTATGAATTATGCTGACCAAAACATGAAAGATTGACATAAGAAACATGAATACCCATTAATTATTTATATTTTGGGGGGTATTTGACATAGGTAAGATAAGTAAAGAGTGTCATGAGAATTTATCCTAAAGCTGTAGAAAGACAATGAAGCAGAGATACCAATTGACATTTAATCAAGACAGTTTTACTTTCAAATTTACATATATTTCCATGCATAAATATTATGAAAGAAGCAAAATGTTTTCCCGGAATAGGACAGAAGAAAATAAAACAAGACAGAAAGCACTGAATACTTAAAAAAAAAAACTATTTTCTAGTCATTCATGTGGTAATTTGATAGCTTTCGTCCTCCATTTTCCAATCTGTTTCTTAGAAATAATATATAACACACTCCTATTGTGAGATATTAATGTCTTTTTATGTAGAAAGCACATAAAATGAAATATAATCTCAGATTCAAAATTAATATAAAGTGTTTTAGGTTAACTTAGAAAAAAATATCTGTATACAAAGTACTGGAAACGAGGCTTTTAGACAATGTTTATATTTTTAAATAAATACTGTTCTTGAAACAAAGGCATCTAAATCACTGGACAGGCAAATCTAACTATGTTCTTCCATCATGTATTTTATCATCAGAGCTTTAGTTCAAGGTAGCTTTGTACTGAATAGAGAAAAGATTTATGTCATAGTTAAATACCATAGTGTCCATCACCTAACAAAGCATAACAAATAGATATTGTTCTGAAAGTTTACGTTTACTATGATCATGATTTATGTTATCAAGAACAGAAATCACAATGTGACTTCCACCTTGATGGAACATTAATCAAAGGATAAAACTATATTAAAGCAAAGTTCCAGTTGGGCAGGAATATAATGGTATAAGCTATTTTTCATCACACAATCATTTTATGATCCACTTTTACATCAAAACAATGGAATACAGGAAGTGTGCTGCTTTCAAATCACAGAGTAAAAAGTTCATCCCAAAGTGAAATAAATGAATTCTAAAATATGCTAAGTCACCTTGGGCTTTTCTTAAAATTGCATTATAGAACTAAGCTAATGGTAGTTAGTTATTTTCATTACAACTAATTTATTTTGTGTACAAAAAAAGAATGAGGATGTTTTTCTCCCTTTATTTATATAAACAATAGATTTTAATCAAACTTTATTTATAGATTATCCTGAAATAGACATCTTATCATTTTTACTACTAAAATAATATATATCATATATCATGTTTTAACCAAATGGTCTTATTTCAATGTGATATCTTATAATTTTTTATTAAAGTATCATCTACACATCTACATAAAGAACATACTTTTTTTCTGTATTGAATTAGAATAAGCAGTAATGAATAGTTTCAATGTTAAACCTTTGGCAGGCTCACGTTTCTTAGGTATAGGTTTTATACCAAGCATATTGAATGAACAGAGTGGGGCTGTACGGTAGTTTTGCAGATCCCTATGATTTAGACTCTGTTGGAGATCATTTTAGCACATAACTATTTTTGTAACTGTTGAAAAGGGCATGAATGGTATGGTACTACCAGCATCTGTCCCTTCTGGAAATTAGGCTCTCTTTTCCTCCCTTCCCCCAACATATCTGTGTATCTCCATGATAGTCATTGGGATTCCACAGTCTTACATGGCCCCACTTTTCTAGCTATGGTGGCGTACGGACAAGCTACAGACACTAACATACTCACTCAGATTAAACTCTCAGAATTTTCAAACTGGAATTAAAAAAATTTCTTCCAGATATGAAACTTTTAAGTTAACAATAGTTTTGACTCCTTCAATTTTCAAAAAAGTAAAATAAAACCCATATACTGAAACGTAAGTGAGAGCAAAAGAAGGAAGGAAGGAAGGTAGGTCAGACTTTATCCAAATGTTTACTTATAATTGATCCCAAAGCCCAACTTTCATTGTTCTTTAAGATGATTTGTCCCCAAATTCCTTCAATATCCCACTATTCTAAGTTCCCCCTTTTGTTTTTCCTTCTTTCACTTTCAACGAAAAGAATTCTGTTTCGGGTAGATATACATAGACACACATATATACACATACATATGTGTATGCATGTATTATATGCCTTCTGTCCTTATACCCATATACTTTTCCAGTCCTATCATGTTTGCATTGCTGGAAGAACATAACTCTTGAATAGTTATTCATGTATTTACTCAATAAATATTTATTGAAAACCTTCTGACTATCAAGAACTAGAAAATATTTTCAGATAATGTTAAATGTTAAGAAGGAACTCATAAAGAAACATGATAAAAGCTAAAGAGATATTGACAATAAAGGAAAACTTTATATAAGAAAGTTATTAAGTCCTTTTTTAAGAAGGCGATATTTGGGCTAGGACTTAGGGCTCTGGTAAAAGGACACTCCATGCAAGAACAGAGTAGGAGTGAAATGGGAGGAACCTGGTGATTTATCAGCACAGAGAAAAGGACCTTGTGAATGAGTGTGGTGAACAAGACATGGAGGAGTAAAAAATGAGGTTGGGAAAGGCCTTTATCAATAGGAAATCATTGAGAGGAGTGGCAGCATTGTGACATGGTGTGGCTTATATTTCCCAAATATTACAATGATAACTCTATGGAGGTCAAATTATGGGAGAGTAGAAGTAGAATGAGGGAAATTGGTGAGGAAGCTATTGTAGTAGTACTGGTGAGAGGTACGGGTGATTTGGAATTGATTGGCAGCAAGAGAGAAAAATAGACAAATCAATTTGGGGTATAATGGAATTAAGCAGGAACTTGCTATAAATTGCATATTGGGAGGTATAAAAGAAACAGATTATTCAAATATAAGTATAAATATATTTATGAGCCACTGGTTGGATGTAGTTTTAATTGCCTGGGATGGGGAAGAAAGTACAGTGATAAGGAAAATCAATGATACAGTTTTAATCATGTTATATTTCAGATATGTTCAAGCATCTAATTGCATGTGTTAAGTCTGCTAGGGCTGGCATAACAAAATGCCAAAGATTGGGTGGGTTAAACCACAGACATTTATCCTGACATAACAAAATACCACATACTGGGTGGCTTAAACAACCGACGTTTATTTTCTTACATTCCTGGAGTCTAGAATTTCAAGATCAATGTGCTGACTTGGTTGGTTTCTGGTGAGGCATCTCTCTTTGGCTTTCAGATGTCTGCCTTCTTGCTGTGTACTTACATGGCCTTTCCTCTGAATGCACATGCTCCTCGTGTCTCTTTTTGTTCTTATAAGGACGCCTGTTTTATTGGATTATTGTCGCACCCTGAAGACCTCATTTAACTTAAATTATTTCCATAAAGTCCTTATCTCCAAATACAGTAACATTAAAAATTATAAGTTCAACCTATGAATTTTGGTTGGGGGTCAGTGAGGGGGAGACACAATTCATTCCATAAGATTGAAGATATTAAAAACAAAATGGATAGGAAATTTTGAAAAATTCCCAATCCCTGTGATAATTTGGTCAAGTTTTTTAACCAGATACATATAAATGCTAAATGCATAGGGAAAAATAGCCTAGAATAAAGGTGGTAAGGATGAGAAAGTGTAATCAGAATCAGAAGAAATAAAGCAAAACCCCAAGAAATCCCTGGACTGATGGTGCCTGTTTTTTTTGTTGTTGTTGTTGTTATTCTTCTTTTTTTTTTTTTTTTTGACGGAGTCTCACACTGTCGCCCAGGCTGGAGTGCAGTGGCACGATCTCCGCTCACTGCAAGCTCCGCCTCCCGGATGCAGGCCATTCTCCTGCCTCAGCCTCCGGAGTAGCTGGGACTACAGGCGCCCGCCACCAGGCCGGCTAATTTTTTCGCATTTTTAGTAGAGACGGGGTTTCACCATGTTGGACAGGATGGTCTCGATCTCCTGACCTCGTGATCCGCCTGCCTCGGCCTCCCAAAGTGCTGGGATTACAGGTGTGAGCCACCGCGCCTGGCCTTTTTTGTTATTCTTTATACAACATGTAAAACAACAATTTGGCCACACAGCTTTTAAAATTATGAATATTCAACGGAGTGTGTTCTGCAGAATTCACTTTGGGAGACTAGGAATAAAAGCAGGTCATGTTGATAGAGTTAATATATGTTCTGTATATCTAGTAAATAATATATACTTTACTTCTATAACCCAAAAGTCTTACCTCTCTACTCTCAGCCATATACTATGATTACTCAAGGTTTATAATCTTTATGGATGCAATAAAACATATTTCTGATATTCTTAGCTCTATCAATCAGGCACTGTAGCAATAATGTTGTATAAAAAACCATCCCCAAATCTCAGTAGCTTATATTAGACAATTATTTCTAGTTTACACATATGAAAAGTTGGCTAAAGGGCTTTTCTTCAGGTCTGTGGATGTCTTCTAAAGTCTTCAATTTTGTCCTTCAACATTGACAGAATTGGAGAATCATTAAGAATTAGCGAAATACTCTGTGCCTTTGACTAAGACTCTCACTCAATTAAATGTGCATATGAGACACCTTGTGTTTCTACCCACTGAAGTTTCCTAATGTACACCACAATGAATTGAGCTATAATATTTAATTGAATGTCTTCAGTATTGAGTTTATTTTCCTAGGAATAGGTTCCTTTGAAGGACTGTTTATATATAACCTGATTTGTATTGTACTTTGTTGAAATCATTTCCTGATATCTAACGTCTATATCTAATGCCTCTTCTGCTGTCTGGTATCATAAATGTTATTTTTGTATAAGAAAAAATGCTAGTAGAAAGAGATCCTATAAATTAGTTATTGATTTGGCCCCATGAATTGAAAAGTTCAGAAGGATTTTTCTCGGAATTATATCTTTTGGGCAAATTTTGCCCAGGATTTCCATTTCAAAACCTTCTTGGGAATTTATTTTTTTAATTTGTATCCGTGACAACTTCTTTTATTTTAGGTTTTTGACTTTATTTTTTACTTTGTTTTATTTATTTATTTATTTATTTTTTGAGACAGAGTCTCGCTCTGTCACCAGCCTGGAGTGTGACGGTGCGATCTTGGCTCACTGCAACCTCTGCCTCCCGGGTTCAAGCAATTCTCCTGCCTAGCCACCCAAGTAGGTGGGACTACAGGCACGCGCCACCAGGCCCAACTAATTTTTGTATTTTTAGTAGAGACGGGGTTTCACCATGTTGGCCAGGATCTCTTGACCTTGTGATCTGCCCACCTCAGCCTCCCAAAGTGCTGGGATTACAGGCATGAGCTACCACACCCTGCCCAGAATGAGGAGGTTTAGTCCAGACCCTGGTTGGTGACGACTAATCTTTGACCAAACCCTGGAGACAAGAAACATTACAAGAATCATACTTCTGTACACAAAGTAGTTCTCATGGGGTCTTTTCAATGTAAAATTGTTATTCCTCTAGGGCAACCACTACTTTATTTGTGTTTTCTCACTATAACGCTAACTCTAGTGCATATCTTTCTAACTGGCACGATTTTACCAATGATGACTTATAATTGTAAATTTTATATATATACATACATACATATAGATGTATAGATGTATGTTGCAAATATTATATATACATACATACAGATGTATAGATGTATGTACAGGTATAGATGTATATACATACATATATATCTGTATGTATGTATATATAATTTGCAATTCTAAATCATCTATATATACACATATATACATAAATCATATACGTATATACTTGTATATATATTTGTATGTATGTATGTATACGTGGCACTGAAGAAAGAGTTAGACAATCAGAAGATCAATCTAAGACATTATCTAGAATTCAGGTATACAACTAGACAAAAATGTTAAACGGAAATCAGGATACAGAGAGAAAAATTAGAACACGCAGCATGCATATACTAGTTTCAGGAGTAATAAATAGTATTCATTAAGAGCAAGATACAAAATGTCCCACAGAGCTGCATATCCTCCTAACATGACCCCACACTTTCCCTGCTGTAACACTGCCTTATAGGACAAGTGAAAGAATCTCTCTGTGATTCCACAGAGCTGTTTGTGATCCCAAAGATTCATCTTCCCTTGGTATACCCTCGTGTGCTCCATCCTAAGCAGAATTTCAGGTGGAACACAAGACTCTGGGTGCCACACAGCTATTTCACCCTTGACAGCCCTCAGAGATCAATGTGCCCCTGAATTTAATCAAGATGGCAAGAATGCCATGTATTTGGCAGAATGTATGGGTATTGATTTGGCTACATAAGAAGTTATCTGAATAAAAAGGCTCTAAAAAAAATGCTTGCCTGCCTTTTCTTAAAAAACCATTAGAGGAACTACATTATACGTCACTTTTTTTTAGCTCAATCATAACCAGAAATACAACTTTTCTAGGTCCTCAATTATAATCCACACTGCCACCTTCAAATACCTTTTTAGTATTCGCAATCCACCCCTCGAAAATTTCCCGAACTCCCCAACCTTTCAACTTTACCCTCAGAAACTCTTGCCCTATCCTGCTTAATCCTTCATAATCTTCAGCTCTTCTCTGAATCTTTCTATGCCATGTTAATCTGACCAAAATCCCTGCAGCCTTCACAAGAATTCATTATTTTAATATCAACATCCCAAATATCATAACCCCTGAAGATGAAGAGATTCCTCCATGTTTTTCCTCACAATTCCAGACTTTATCCTGACTCCTTTGAAATAACATCTTGTGATAATAACTTGAGTTATGATCAATGCAAAACTTCTCTCATTTCTTGAAAACTGTTGTAACCACTATTCCCACAATTATTATCATTATTAGTGGTGCTAGTACTTTCTACTGGATTATCCATTTAACATCCTAGTCTCTTACTTCTTTGATCTTATTTCCAACATTCTTTTTCTCCACTTGAGTTCAGCTATTTTCTACCAAAGTTAGACACTAGACCTTCTCAAAACCAAGAACTATAATATAGAAAGTGAGTTTACACTTCCTAATCTTTAATTGCAACTTCAGAATGTTCCACATCACTTATTTTTAATATATTATTCACACTCCAAAAAGTTTTACTTCCAGAGATCCTACAAGATATGGATGTTTTATATAATTGTTCGCCAGTCCTTTCACATTCTCGTATTCCTTTTTATTAAACTTAGGTTTCATTTGCAAGAACTGCATTCATTCCCTAGAATATAGATTTAGCTCCTATCTCTCTCTTTAACTACCTCATATTGGCATGCAAAACTAGAACCTGTTTATACTCAACATTTCATCTCCTCTGTGCTTGTGCTCAAGAAAGGGAATATAGCTAGAGTAAAAATTAGGACTATGTTGAAGGACTTATTTTAAATCTAAACACACAAATCTCAAGTAGACCTTCCATCCTACCTTGAACTCTTTATTTTCTTTGCTTAGGCAATTAAGTCTCCCACACTCTGAAATAATTGCTTTACAACATTATTCAATTCTCAAACCTCTAATGCACTCTCCCTGTTTCTCATCTTCAGAATGATGAGCTTATTCTTATTTCATTAAAAAAGAAAATAGAAACAATGAAAAACCATCTATTCACTGCCATATCTCAAACAATTCTACTTTGTGCTCACGTATTTTGCTTTCTTTACATTGAATGAACTGAATTGCTCCAACAGAATTAACTTCTCAAGGTTACCAATTGCCTCAATTTTGCCCAAATCTAATGTTCGTTATTCATAATTTATTTCTCAGTATCCCTTGGCAGTATTGATATTTCTTTCTCAAAATATGTTCTTCATTTTGCTTCTGGGAAACCACAATTTTGGTTTTCTTTTTTCCTCACTGAGTGTTTTATTTTAACCTCTCCTCTAATCCCCAAATGTCAAATATTAAACGATTCCAGGAATCAAAATCAGTCATTATTTTATTCCTTCATTCCTTTATAAACTTAACTAAAATATTGTTCTGAAACATTCTAAGATAATAGTAAAAATTTATAATGATCTTCAAAAGACAGCAGCAAATAATTTAAATGTAAGGTTGCGCTCTCAAGTAAGATACGGCAAATTTCTTTCTTTTTTTTTTTTTTTTTTTTTTTGAAACGGAGTCTCGCTCTGTCTCCCAGGCTGGAGTGCAGTGGCACGATATCGGCTCACTGCAAGCTTCGCCTCCCGGGTTCATGTCATTCTCCTGCCTCAGCCTCCGGAGTAGCTGGGACTACAGGTGCCCGCCACCAAGCCCAGCTAATTTTTTGTATTTTGAGTACAGACGGGGTTTCACCGTGTTAGTCAGGATGGTCTTGATCTCCTGACCTCGTGATCCGCCCGCCTCGGCCTCCCAAAGTGCCGGGATTACAGGCGTCAGCCACTGCACCCAGCCTCAGGCTTGATTTTTAAAAAGAGGGGAAAACAACAACAACAACAAGTAAGATATATCTGTAAGACACTGTGGCTAATCTGGGAGTTGGATTTGATTCTACCATCGGGACAGAAGATGAGGCCTTGGGATTGGATCAGGCAGTAAATGGAACCAGGGTTCCTGAGTCTAGATTGCATTTGGAAGTAGGTACACTCTGTGAACAGGCATAACAATAAAAATAAATAAATAAATAAATAAAGCACTACATAGTACAGAAGATGCAAAATTAATCTCTTTCACCTCTCATATGCGCCTCATTACCTTTGGGGCTCCTGTTTACATTAGCTACATGGACCAAGAAAATCTAAGACAAGAAAGTACATAGAAACTTTTCCAAGTATGGTATATCCTGACCACAGCCAGGTACAAATAAAAATATCATCCTTAAAGATATTCCTGCAACACTAGATAATAAAACTATCTAAAATTATTAAAAGTACTAATTTTTCATAAAATGTCACAGAATATACACATTCTACAATGTGTGCTCAGACGATATAACAAGTAGAATTAGTGACACCCAGTACATGTGTCATAGGATAACTAAGAGAGAACTAAAAATGGTTTTAAAAACTCCCTCTCCCTCTCCCTCTCTCTCTCCCTCCCCTCCCCCTCTCCCTCCCCTCCCCCTCCTCCACCCCTCCCCCTCCCCCTCCCCCTCTCCCTCTCCGTCTCCCTCTCCATGGTCTCCCTCTCCCTCTCTCTCCACCGTCTCCCTCAGATGCCGAGCGGAGGCTGGACTGTACTGCCTCCATCTTGGCTCACTGCAACCTCCCTGCCTGATTCTCCTGCCTCAGCCTGCCGAGTGCCTGGGATTGCAGGCATGCGCTGCCACGCCTGACTGGTTTTTGTATTTTTTGGTGAAGACGGGGTTTAGCCGTGTTGGCCGGGCTGGTCTCCAGCTCCTGACCGCGAGTGATCTGCCCACCTCGGCCTCCCGAGGTGCCGGGATTGCAGACGGAGTATCGCTCCCTCAGTGCTCAATGTTGCCCAGGCTGGAGTGCAGTGGCGTGATCTCGGCTCGCTACAACCTCCACCTCCCAGCCGCCTGCCTTGGCCTCCCAAAGTGCCGAGATTGCAGCCTCTGCCAGGCCGCCACCCCATCTGGGAAGTGAGGAGCGTCTCTGCCTGGCCACCCATCGTCTGGGTTGTGAGGAGCCCCTCTGCCCGGCCGCCCAGTCTGGGAAGTGAGGAGCGCCTCTTCCCGGCCGCCATCACGTCTGGGAAGTAAGGAGCATCTCAGCCCGGCTGCCCATCGTCTGGGATGTGAGGAGCACCTCTGCCCGACCGCCACCCCGTCTGGGAGGTGAGGAGCGTCTCTGCCCGGCCACCCCGTCTGAGAAGTGAGGAGCCCCTCTGCCCGGCAGCCGCCTCGTCCAGGAGGGAGGTGGGGGGCAGCCCCCGCCCGGCCAGCCGCCCTGTCTGGGGAGGGAGGTGGAGGGCAGCCCCCGCCCCCGCCTGGCAGCCGCCCCGTCAGGGAGGTAGGGGGGCGCCTCTGCCTGGCTGCCCTTTCTGGGAAGTGAGGAGCCCCTCTGCCCGGCCGCCACCCCGTCTGGGAGGTGTACCCAACAGCTCATTGAGAACGGGCCATGATGACGATGGTGGTTTTGTCGAATAGAAAAGGGGGAAATGTGGGGAAAAGAAAGAGAAATCAGATTGTTACTGTGTCTGTGTAGAAAGAAGTAGACATAGGAGACTCCATTTTGTTCTGTGCTGGGAAAAACTCTTCTGCCTTGGGATGCTGTTAATCTATAACCTTACCCCCAACCCCGTGCTCTCTGAAACATGTGCTGTGTGCACTCAGGGTTAAATGGATTAAGGGCGGTGCAAGATGTGCTTTGTTAAACAGATGCTTGAAGGCAGCATGCTCCTTAAGAGTCATCACCACTCCCTAATCTCAAGTACCCAGGGACACAAACAGTGCGGAAGGCCGCAGGGTCCTCTGCCTAGGAAAACCAGGGACCCTTGTTCACATGTTTATCTGCTGACCTTACCTCCACTATTGTCCTATGACCCTGCCAAATCCCCCTCTCCGAGAAACACCCAAGAATGATCAATAAATACTAAAAAATAAATAAATAAATAAAAATAAAAAAAAAGATGAAAGTAATTAACCAAACATTTCATCAAAATACATTTTAAGAAAAAATATGGAACAATTAGATAAGGAAATTGATCCCTTCACTACTGTCTGTGATCATACATGCTTTGGAAAGTCTCAGGATAATCCCAGAGGTATGAGCAGCCCAGTTTTAATCTTAGAACATCTGAGACTCAGTTTTTTCAAATGTAAAAAGAGGATAATAGTGATATCCTCACAGAGCTATTTTATGACTTGCCAAAAAAGTAGACTTTTGAGCATATAGTAGGCACTCACTAGACAGCAGCTTTGAGATAATTCTTCGCTTGATTTTCTTCAACTTTTAACAAATAATCCATTAGTTTTCTTGGAGCACAGACTAAGAATAAGATATTAAACACTACTGTTAGGTGTGGGAAAATATTCAAATAGAAATTTATATAATTAACCATTCAAGTTTAAATTCAAAGACAATTTATGCAAAATATTAGCCTCATTTGAAGTTAGAATTGTTAAGTTGAAAGAAAAATCTGAAGACATTACACATAATGCATAAAAGTGGCATAAAGTGAATACTGCAAGAAACAGAAGTGTTTAAGAAATAAGTACACATCGTGAAGGTTCAGTTTTTGTGTAATAAGAGAATGCGAAAGAAAATAAATAGAAGACACTGGGGAGTAGGTCATATTTGAAGAGTTAATGTTTGTGAATTTCCATAAATTGGTTAAAAATAAAACCTCATTCCTAGAATTTGTAATTTCTATAGAGGCAATAAGAAAAACAATTCAAAAAACCTATACTTAGTCAAATCTTGAAACTTAAGAATAACAAGAACAGAGGCAGATTCATTAAAAATACAGTATTATACAAAACAAATTACCCACCAAAGATCAACATTTGACTTATGGCAGACTACTTCTCAATAATAAGAGGACTCAAGAGAATAATAGAAGATAGAAAAGATGCTGTCATCTAAGAATACCCTATCCAGCAAACTATCATTGAATCAAATTTCAAACATAATCTTCACAGAACTTAAAGTTTAAATTGAAAACTCACAAGTAGGAATACATAGCAAAACAAAATAGCATTTTTAGAAAAGAGTAACTGGTACTGGATAAATCTTAAAACACATTTATTTTGAGTGAACAAAGCTGGTTGCAAGTGTTTTAACACTTGAAAAGTCATAATTGTTCACATATTAATGTATGTGAATTTAAACAATGTGTGCAACCTGCTAGAAAATCAAACATAGCTAAACGATTCCCCGTCTGACCACAGAAAATAATTTTTTTAAGAAAAAGAAATGGGAGGGAGAATTATAATTAACTCCTTAATCAATCTGTAATTCAAGTAACTAATAAATGTTTGCTTCTTTTGTGCTGCTTACACAAGGCCTTTAAACTATTGAACATATAAATATGTTAGCTCTAATTATATATGGTAATTAACATCTAATTTTCCCCTTCTGACATATTACTAAGATCCAAAGTTAATATTCTTAGAGCTTTTGTATACAGAATTACATTTCAACATTGTATTTCTACAAATATGTGAGAGTAAGCAATCTAAGTTCTACTATAATATTCTTTTCCTTAAAAATTACATTTCTGAATATTTGATATATAAGAAAATATACACCAAAGCACTTTTTTGAATATTTGGTGTAGAACAACATTTTTTACATTGCAAGTTATTTCACAAAATATTTTATATCTTATAAGTCATATAGTTTGAAAAACTAGATATCACAAAATTATTGCAGTAATTTACATTGTATCATTGTTTTTGGTTATACTTACTCCGTCTTCCAAATCTTTCATAATATCTCATAGTAAAGTTTCTACAGTAGAAGTTGAAAGATAATAATTTCAATATTAGGTCAATGTGATCATCGAAGATCATGCTATCAGATTAAGTAGGTATGTTTCCAAGTTCTTTTTGTTTCAACAAATATTTCCTAAGTACCTACCATGACTCAGGAACTATTTTAGATATTGGGTTATAAAAATTTAGAAAAAATTGACAAATATTCTGTTTTATTGAGCTTGCTTTTTAGTGAACAAAATTTTCTCAAATAAAATATCTCGTATGATCCTTTTATTACAATGTAATTAATGGCAGAAAATGTTTTGCCATTTTTGAAACTGAATAACCAAGGCTAAGTTACTTGAATAAATAAAAAAAAAAAAGCGTCAAAATGATACCTGGCTTACATCTCTTGAAACTATACAATTCTTTTTTTTTCCCCCTATTAATCTCACAGTTTTTCAAGATAATGTTTGAGTCATCCTATCCAGGGATCGAATGTTCATGGAGAAAAACTGCATTGAAAAATAAATTATTATTTATTCAAGCTGTTACTAGCAGAACTCGGAAACTCAAGATTACTCAATTCCCTTCGATTCTCTTGCAGTTTACCTATTCACACCACTTGCCTTTTGTAGGAGGTTATACAGAGCTTTTCCCCACATAAAGGAGAATCTGCTTGCTGATACTTCAAAGAGTAAAGCCTCATAATGGCACTATTTTTAATTTTTTTTTTTTGACTGGGCTCAGGCAGGATGTGAAAGAGATACGCAGAGTTATAATGTCTTAGAAAGATTATGGGGCAGTTTCTACATAAATGGATTTCTTCTGTACCCTTCGCCTCTTACACCACTCTGCCCCTTATTCTGCCCTGCAAACATGGAGTACATTTCCTGGTTGAGGTATTGTTTCACAGTGCTCAACCGAGTGGGGCAAATCTGCTAAAAGTTTTGGACAAAGGTAATTTGGTTTCCCTTCTCCATCTTCCACCACCTGGTTATGTTGGGTAAGGATATCCCTTTGCATCTCCAATTTTTCCTCAGATGTGCTAGTCCCGGGATAAGACCCAGGAGATAAGCAGTACAGTAGGCCATGTGGCATATGCAAAAAGTGTGCTCTCCATTCTAGCTTTATTACTAATAAAAGATGCTGCAAATCTCCTTCTGCTGCTTCATTTCTTAATTGATTCAAAAATAAAGCAAAGAAGGACAGTGCTTTTCATCTGCTCATTAAACTCACAACTTTAGGCACATGAGCCAGGAAAGAAGACATAGATAACTTTTTTCTGAAGCCAGGGTACATGGGATCATTGGCCTTGAGGATGTTCTTGATTTTGTTAATGTTTCTTTTAAAATAGCCTGTGGGTATACCTAATGAGGATTTGGTAGATTAATTAGTTTTACACTTTATGTTCAGTTTCTTAGTACAATCTCTAAACCATTAGAGGATATTTTGGCCTTCAGTTTAAACATGCAGGGCACACACAGACAAAAATAGGTCTTACAAGGAAATCAGTATGGCTTATCTCCTTCCCATTTCCTCTGGGAACATACTTCCCCAGCATGTACTATATGTTTATCATTCCTAGTAAAGCAGAGAACTTTACTCTCACAGATATGTGGTAAATTAAAAAACTTAAAATATATTAAAATATATTAAAAATGGAGGTCCCTACTACGAAAATATTACTAATACTTAGAACAAAATAATGTTAAAAGTGTATTATATATGTATATTGTGATATATAATACAGTGATGACAATATTGTAACAAACATGTTTTAAGGAAAGTGTGTACTTGGAATGTCAATCTTCCAGAAGCAGTACAGATATTTAAGGCACCAAATTATGTTGTCAGGCATAAGTTAGTAGTCTAAATGACAGTCTTAGTTGTATAAGTGATAGAAGATTAATTCAAGAAGCACCCAAATATGAAAAAGAAGTACATTAAACTTGGAGAGTCCAAAGCTTTTAAAACAAAAGCTAGATAACTAGATATTTATGGAAGACAGAGATGGAGAGAAGAAGAGAGAGAGTGAGAGAATAAATCAATGATTTGAAACCTGTTAAAATGAACGTTGTTAAAGATTAGACCAAAAAATAATTTGGGGAAGTTACTAGCTGAAGAAAAGTACCAGTAGCCAATAGAGATGTTGGGAAAAGAAAAGACTTAAGCAAGAAGAACCCATTAACTCTCTCAGAAGAAACTGGGACCCAGGAAACCACAGCAAAGATTCCTCTCAACATTTGGATGGATTCCACAGTAAGTCATTGAGCAAGCCATCCTTGAAGAATGGGATACCAGCACCAAATGGCTATATACTATTTGGATAGATATGAGAAGGAAGGCTATGTGATAAGCCTTAAATATTCAAGTCCTTGGTGGGCAGGCTTCAAAGTTACTTTGTTATCATGAACATAGATGCAGGTACTAAGGAAATGTGTTTCTGAGATGTATGAAGTTAGAAAAAATAGAGGAAGACACAAGCAGAATTGACTAAAGTTAGAGAAAAAATAGGGAGGGCATAATCTAGGACTATGGAAAGCACACTGAATAGGCAAAACCTTAATATAATTGAGCTATTCTCAATGGAAAATTAGTTGAAGTTTAAATGGAACCATACTCTTGAAGATCCAGAACCTAAGAAGTTATATTTCTTATAATCATTTCAGCTACATATTTATATTTGCAGGACTTGATGGACAAATGTATTTGTCCATAAACAAACACAGAACACCTAATGTCCAAGACTGAAAAGCACAGAGGTATACAGAAGAGAGGGATAGTGGAGAATGCGAGAAAAAAAAAATCTCAACTACATTCATAGAGAGAATGAGGTGGATAAAATGTTAGGGGGCCTCATAATAGAATGAGGCTGATAAAATCTTAGGGGGTCTCAAAATAGAAGTAAAATGACCATGTCTTCATGAGATCAAGGACTTACTGAAGAGCATATGACTAGTGTTTTCAAAATTGTAAAATGATGCATTTTTCCAACCAATTACTGACTATCAATATATGTCCATTATTCTAATTAGAAAGCAAAGGCTGTAAAATTGGTTAGAAGCAGAAAAGGTAGTACTAGGTGTCTTTACTGTGAAAATATCAGTTACCTACATGAGAAAATGGAGATTTAACCAGGCGCATCTGGTCAAATTTACTTCCAGAGCATCTTCAGCAAGAACTTTGCAGTAGTCATTTGAAACATGAGTTTTGGCAATATGTCTAAATAGTGTTTCAAATAGAAATGAATTTGTGAACAAAGGTTACAATGTATGCTGCCTACTTTAATGCTTAAATCTTGACTGGTCTATTTATTTCCTTTCTTCTATGATGTGGATATAAGCAGAATGTCTTCAATTATTCTGCACTATTATTTTACTTGGTTTATCCTTTATGCCTTCCTATGCAGATATATTAAAAAAGCTGAAGTTTAACTTGTGGTCATTTAGAGAGTACTTGGATTTAAGTACCAAGGAATCAGGCAGAATTGAAGGTGATTTCTTGCAATGTGTAGGGTTTGGAGAAATTACCAGGTAGTTAGGATGCAAAATATGGAAGCTTTATTCACACAAGTAGGTATTAAGACAACTGGAGAATAATTAAAGGAATCCTGGAATCGATTTTATTTATGCATTTTATTAATACATTCTTCTAATTTATTTCAGAGCTCTTTTGGCGGAAATCTTCAATAGCAGTTTTTCACTAGCCATCTTAGGCCAATGCTCAAAGGAGAAGTTCTTCATAAATGTGGGATGGACTGCTCTGATGGACTCTGCTGTTAGTCTACTTTGAGAGCAACAGATCATTCATGGTTAAGCATAGATTTAAAGGCTTAGCTCAAGGATATAAAGGAAAAAAGTCGGCCGGGTGTGGTGGCTCACGACTGTAATCTCAGCACTTTGAGAGGCTAAGGCGGGTGGATCAGAAAGAAAGAAAGGAAGGAAGGAAGGAAGGAAGGAAGAGAAAGAAAGGGAATGGGGATTAGGGATGTCTACAGCAAGGGACTACATTAGCATATCTACTCAGTACAGAAATGAAATTGTCCTTTGTTTTCTATTTTAGGTCAGAACTAAAGTAGGGTAGGTGGTGTGGTAAGTCAGCTTGGCTCACAGTCTAGTCTAGCCTGGATTTATTAGTGATTGTGATAATATTATGTGTTCCATCTGGCGCTGCCATTCTTTTATGTCTCAAATGTTTCAGAATTCAGATGGGGAAAAGGTGTATTGGGCTTTTAAAGCCCTCATAAGAGAATATTTCATACTATCAGAAAAAGGTACCACTTCTTCATATCTACTTACAAACTATCTAATAGAATTACTTGTGAGTCTGAATTGCAGTAGCAATTCTTCCACATCAACTTTTAAAGAAAAAAAAAAAGAAAAGAAAAAAGAAAAAAAAATCCCTTATCAAACACTGCAGGCAACCTCAGGTACTTCAGAATCAAGAGGCCATGCTGAGTCAGTGTTTGGAGTTGGGAGAGTGGGCTTTTAATTCAATAAGTCAGAGAGGAAAGAATGCATAAGGAAAGAGGCCAAAGGGATTTATGGTAGAGAAGGATAGAGCCAACGAATGAGGGAATCAGGAATATGGAGTGGGAAGCATTATGACAGAAGTCCAGAATGAGACTGATCTTATTTACATGCTTGAGATGAGGACAATAGCAAAAATTGCTCTAACAGGTATGTTTTAAAGAAGTAGAAAAATAAGTGGGTGCCAATTTCACTTCTACATGGCACTTGCTACCCTTTTCCTGTGATGAAAATAGAAATCAACGTACCCTGAATCTCCTTTTCTTTTCCCCTATTTATATAATTATCAAGGTTTCATTGATTGAATACATTTACTGAATTAACTTTTAATTTGTACATTAACGTAGTCAAATCAGACATCTAAATAAAATTAAGTTAAATCACATATAGAATAATAGCATTTTAATAATATTAAATTTATACTTTTTTAAATTTCCTATTTAAGAAATTGTTGAAAATTCATATAATCATAACATATTTTCCCCTTATTTTGTATCTTTAAAAATCTGGGGGAATATTTTTATCTGTGAATATGTTCATTTATTCTGTCAGTGAAAACAAACTACTTTGGATTTTTATTAGAAAATTTAAGTAGCAAGTTTTCAACTTTCAAATTTTATGTTTCTAATTCAAAAGCTGTATATATGTGTGTGCATATGTGTGAGTGTGTAACTAATATTCTCTTTATGTATTATTCTAGTAGATTATATTTTAAGTTATCTATTCACTTTAAAAGGGAATATTATGGAAAGTTCACCAACTTTCAAAAGATTCGAGCGATGTATAAAATCTCTTGTTTTACTAGGTGTGGAGTTTTGTAAAGGCCTGAATTTCAGTGGAAAAAAATGTTTAAATATGCTTTTTTCCAGGAAGCCACTGGAATCTCTAAAGTGTTCCTGGCTAACTGGGAAAAAATTGCAGGGAACCAAGAGTAGCAGATGGAAAGACAGTTGGCCAAACCTACTGCCCATACTACACTGTTGCCAAAA
Source organism: Homo sapiens (assembly GCF_000001405.40). Lineage (NCBI taxonomy): Eukaryota > Metazoa > Chordata > Mammalia > Primates > Hominidae > Homo > Homo sapiens. Next base: position 85,332,791 of record NC_000013.11, on the reverse strand, counting down.
CCCTTGAAAGTAATAGTCCATTTTGGAAATATTTGCTGGGAGAACAAATGTTTGCTAATGAAACAAACATTTGAAGTGTTAGGAAATACCCAAATAAAACAGTTTTGTAGCAGAAATAAATATTTTACTTGAGAAATCATTGCCAGAGTAAATATGCCATTTCAAGGTAAAAACAAAACAAAGCATAAAAGCTATTAGAGACAGATCACAAAATGTATAAAGAATGCAGATTTAATGGACTTTGTGTATCTATATACCTTTCAATATAATTCATGTAATGATTGATATTTCAGCAGCATATTTAAACTGCAAAAAATTTTACTTGAATAATAAAAGAATGGATATATTTGTGCTACATTGTTTTAACTTATCTATACTACTGAATATAAATGAAGCTTAAAATTGTATAAATAATCTGAAAAATCAAGGCAAATTCAACATCCTTCAAGCATACTGAGCAAAGGGCTATGTGTTGATGCTGTATGTTGAAATAAGTTTATTATTTGATTTAATTTGATTAAATTAAGTTCATGATTGTCTTAAATGTGAATGTTTTTACTTTGCTGAGATATTAGGGAGAGATATTTAATAAAAGTAAGTTCAAAAATTATGATCTAGAAATAAAAGTAACTCAAATTCTTAATATTTCTCTAGGTCCTTTTAATATTGGAAGAATGCTGCTTTTATTATCTGACTTTATCTTTATGATGGGTTAATTCTTACATAGCTCTTTTTTGAGAAGTATAAATATGTAGAATTTTGAAGGTAATGAAGGAATTTAAAATCAATGTAGTTCAATCTGCTCACTAATTACAGATGGGCAAATTGAGTTCTAGAAAGGTTAAGCTATTAGCCCAAATCATATAACAAATTAGTCACACTACCAGGACAAGACTCTCAGTCTCCTAATTCTTAGAGCAAAATTTTTAAATGTAAGGTTATTATTTTGTTTTGTCCTTCTTTATGCCATTTTCTCTACATTCTAGGAGATCAGAGTAAAATTTCATGTGACAGTATATTAAAATTAGATATATACACTTTCAAGATTTTTTGATCATTGTTATCTACTTTATAAACTGATGAGGAAGTACAATTAAATCTAAAACAGTGAAATAATGAAATTCTCTTTAAATTTTCGTATTTAACACTCTTTCAGAAAAATAATGAAGCTCTGGATTTAATGCAAACTTCATAAATGTTTTTTCTTGTTTCATTTGAACATACACATACAATGTATAATTCAGTAAATTAAGTTTAAGGTCCTGTGAAGTACAAAATTAATATTGCTGAAGAGAGGTCTGGCATTTTCCTTCATTTCCTGGGAGGTAATCTCTAAGCACATGGAATATGCTTAGATAGGAGTGCCTTATAAGAATGCCTTTGTTTACCTTCAAGACTTGGGGAATCCTAAATACTCTATGCTAACCATGTGACTTACAGTGCAGGCTTTGGACTATCTGGTAATATCTTGACCTCTGGAGGGGATGGGGACAAAGGCTGGTCATGCGGGAAGTCTACCAAAATTTGTGACTGATCATCAATAGAAGCTCTGGACACCAAGGCCTGGATGATCTTCATTAGTTGGTAGTATTCCATGGGTGTCATCACACATCAATGAGAAAAGAAAAATCATTGTTTTGCATAACTTCACTGGGAGAAACTAGAAGTTGTCCTCCACCGAGAAGACCACCAGAAGCTCATGCTCGAAAACCTCTTGGGTCCCACCCTGTGCACTCTCTCCTTGAATGATTTTAATTGGTATCCTTTCACTATAATAAACTGTCACCATGAGTCTGACAGGTTTGGAGAGTTCTGTGATTTCTTTAGCAAGTTACCAAACCTGGGGATAATTTTGGGAACCTCTGTACTTGTGGTTTGTGTCAGAAGTGAGGGTGCTGTCGGGGATTCCCAAACTTGCGGTTGGCATCCAAAGTGGGAGTGGTCTTGGGGACTCCCAAATTATGCAGGTACTAAATATAAAAGAGTTCAACTACTTTCAAATGGAAATTCTACAGGAATAAATGTTTAAATTACAGTGAAAAAGACAAAAAAAAAACTTTAACACTGTTAAGCTAGAAGAGTTACACTAACTGCCGTCAGAATTTGCTTCTGTGAAAAGCACTACTGCTAAAAACTAAAACGCAAGCACAAACAGGTTTGGTTGTTACTTAGGAAATATTCCATGATGGCCAAATTAAATTAGCATATTGGGAGTCTGAAATACCTATTGATGTTCCTTTAATACTGATATTAAAAATGATGAAGTACATGAATGTGTTCATAAAAGTGGAGAGTCAATCAAGAAAATTATTCTTTAGCATTTTAAATATTTAACATTTTAACATATTCCCGAGGAGCAGCAGCAATATTTTAACATATTTAAAATTCACAAAGTTCCATTTGAATATCCCCAAAAACTTTATGACTAGCTCTAACAAGTTTCCTCTTTGATCAGCTTTAATCGGATTTACCTTTGTGACTACTTTTTAGAGTTTGCATCATGTTACTTAAGTTACTTGAACAATCTCGTAGTTAATAAACAGCTTAGAAACATAGCATGATATATAACATTTAATATGCATACTAATTATTAAATATAATACATTTACACATGAATGCCAGTGCACAAAGTGGTTATTCACAAACTGTTCTTAATAAGCTGTGGCTGGATTTTATTTTTAATGATTTTATTGCGATGAAACATGGCACAGAATCATTTTTTAAATATGTATCTAAAATTCATTACTGGCCAGGCGCACTGCCTCACGCCTGTAATCCCAGCACTTTGGGAGACCGTGGTGGTTGGATCACCTGAGGTCAGGAGTTTGAGACCAGCCTGGCCAACACGGTGAAATCCCATCTCTACTAAAAATACAAAAAAATTAGCCAGACGTTGTGGCAGGCACCTGTAATCCCAGCTACTGGGGAGGCTGAGGCAGGAGAATCGCTTGAACCTGGGAGGTGGAGGTTGCAGTGAGCTGAGATTGCACCATTTCACTGCAGACTGGGCAACAAGAGTGAAACTCTGTCTCAAATAAATAAATAAATAATAAAATAAAATTCATTACTGTGCAGCCATAAAAAATAACAAAATCATGTCTTTTGCAGCAACATGGACGCAATGGAGGCCATTATCCTAAGCAATTAACACAGGAACAGAAAGCCAAATACCACCTGTTGTCAACTATAAGAGGGTCCTAAACATTGAGTAAACGTGGGCATTAAGATAGGAACAATAGACACTGGGGAATACTATAAGGCAGAGGCTGGCAGAGGAGTAAAGGTTAAAAAAACTACCTATTGAATATTATGTTCACTACCTAGGTGACAGGATCAAATTGCACAATAAACCGCAGTGACACACAATTTACCCATGTAATAAACCTGCACATGCATCCCCTTAACCTAAAATAAAAGTTGGGAAACAGGAGTGAAATAAAATAAAAATACTTAGGTCACTAACAATAAAATGCAAAAGAAAAAAAAGAAATAAAATAAAATACATCACTAACCCTTATAATAAATATCACTTTTAGAATTTATTGTACCATTGATCTTAATTCATTTTGAACTGATCAATTTAAAACAACTAATTTTTCTTAAATTCTTATACAAATATTTATGAAGCAATCTACAAATAACGGTTTGTTTGGCATAAAATTTTGTTGGTGGCCAAAAACCCAAATATTTTTACACCCTTTTAAAGTTCATTATATATAGAAACATGTCATGGAACATTGTTTTGGTAAATGATGGACTGCATGTCCTTTGAGGGTCCCATAAGATTATGATGGAGCTGAAAAGTTCCGTTGCTTAGTGGCTTCATCAGAAAGCAAAGCACAGCTCATGTGTTTGTTGTGATGTTCGTGTATGAAAACCTACTGTGCTGTCATATTTTTACCGTGTCTTTTTTTATTATTTTTACTCAGACAGGGTCTCACTATACTGTATTGTCTAGGCTGGTCTTGAACTCCCGGGCTCAAGTAATCCTCCTGCCTTGGCCTCCCAAAGTGCTGGGATTATCGGCGTGAGCCATCACCCAGCCTATTGTATCTTTTCTATGTTTACATATATTTAGATATACAAATATTATTGTGTTACTGTTGCTTAGATTATTCAGCATAGTAACATGCTGTACAGATTTGTAGCCTAGGAAGAATAGCCTATACCATAGAGCCTGCATGTGTAGTAGGCTATATGATGTAGCTTTGTTCAAGGACACTCTATGACGTTTGCACAATGATACAATCATCTAATAATGCATTTCTTAGAACATATCCCTATCATTAAGTGAAACATGACTCTATAATGTTTTATAAAGTGCATGATGTATTTATATTATATAATATGTATAAAGAAGTTTAATATACGATGCATATATGATGCATATCCACATCATAGCCATATTAGTCTAAACATGTAGGAAGATTGATACACAGACATTTTTTAGCAGTTCATACCCATGTCTAAGATATCTTTGTTCTCATTCTCATTTCTACCTTTCTGAGGTTTCCTACCTATTGCTTGATGTGATATTGCCATGGCTGAACCAACTAGGCTCAACTAGGCTTGAGAAAAATTTGTTTTGAATATCAAAGTAGACATTTACAAGTGAAATATTTAAGATGTATACTCCAACCTCTCTGATTGTTTTCTGTTTCTAGTTCATTAAACAACATGCAAACATGAAAGATAAAAATGGAGATATAGCTGTTATATAAAAATGTCAAGTAGAAGTATTTGCAAGAATGTAGAGGAAAAGAAAAACTCGCACACTGTGATGGGTATGTAGATTAGTACTACAATTATGGGAAACAGTGTGGAGGGTCCTCAAAAAATTAAAAATAAAACTACCGTATGATTCAACAATCCTACTACTGGGTATATATTCGAAGGACAAAAATTAATATGTTGAACAGATATCTGCACTCCCATGTTCACTGCAGCATGATTCACTATAACCAAGACAATTACAGTAATTACAGTGTAATCACGCTATTATACTAAGTGTCCATAATGAATGAATGGTTAAAGAAAATATGGTATATGTACACAATGGAATATTATTCAGTCTTAAAAAGGAAGAAACTCCTCTTTTTTTGTTATATTTTGTTTTGTTTTTGTGAAAACCTGGAAGAGCTTGTAAGACATTAAGTGAAATAAGCTAGGCACAGAAAGATAAATATCACATGATCTCACATGTGGAATCTAAAAATGTTGAATTCACAGAAGCAGAGAGCAGAGTTGTGGTTATCAGGTGCTGGGGTGAGGGTAAGAGTACGTTGGTCAAAGGACACAAAATTTCAGTTAGCAGGAATAAGTTTAAGATATCTATCATACAAGTTGGCTATGTTTAATAATAATGCATTGTATTCTTTAAAATTTCTAAGACGTATTTTGTGTTTTCACCATAAAAATAAGTATATAAAGTTATGCATGTTATTTAATTTAGACTTCCATAATAAATGCAGATTTCAAAACATCATGACATACACAATAAATATATACAAATTTCGATTCAGTAAAAATTAAATAATTTTAATGAGAAACAAAATTATGCCTTACCTAAGAATTTGCTTTCTCACTGAAATCATTTGACATGTAAATTACAATTAAAGCCAAAGATGGAGATATTCTATTAATATAATAATTTTCAAATTACTTTCCTGGTGCACACATTACCGTGAAGTTATCTTTAAATATTAATACACATAATACAGTTTTTTTCTTAATTTTACTCTTCTCTTAAAGGAGTAATATATTTATATTTTTTATATTAAACTGGAGATGTACATTTGCCCTTAGGATGATGCCTAACAAATAATTGTGAAGAAAAAATATTTCTCTTTAAAACTTTTCTGAAATGACACAGAAATTGTAATTGGACTACACAGCAGTTGACATTATGAATATCTGAGCAAAAGTAAGACCGACTTTTATAGTAATGTTTTTAAGGAATTTTCTGATGAAATGTACTCATAGCTGTTATTTCAGCTGCACTTGGCTTTTGGCTCTTGGCCTTTTTGTCAGTTTCTTGATGTCAAATTTTGAAACCAGAATTTGCCATGGAAACTACCAGGTGAGTTTAATGCTATACTCATAAACCAGGCAATATTTACAAAATATAGCTCGAATTTTCTCATTTTTTTGTTCTTTCTTTAAACTTACTATTATTTATATGTGCAGCAACTTTTTCTTAATCTGATAATTGCTGAATTACTGAACATATCCCTGGCTAAAATATTCTGAAGATCTAGTGTTTTTTAGAGTAAATTAAACATGAAATTATAAAACATACTAGCTTGTATTGTACTTTGTATAATAAAGGACATTTTCCCACAAAATTCATATTTTGAGGGAACTGGATTACAATAATCTGAGTCTCTAGTTCAAACCTAGGCAATCAGACTCCCTAAACGTGGTTTAAGAACACGAATGTTTAAAGAAACTGTGTGTGTGTTTGTACGCACATTCAACTCTAAGAAGCAGGTTGAGCATTCAGTAATTAGAATAAGAGTCATGCTGTGTGACATCTTGTGATGGAGAGATGGCAGGGTCAGCTGTATTTATTTAGCTTTTTTTTTTTTTTTTTTTTGAGACGGAGTCTCTGTCACCCAGACTGGATTGCAGTGGCGAGATCTCGGCTCACGGCAAGCTCCGCCTCCCAGGTTACGCCATTCTCCTGCCTCAGCCTCCTGGGTAGCTGGGACTACAGGCGCCCGCCACCATGTCCGGCTAATTTTTTGTTTTCGTATTTTTAGTAGAGTCGGGGTTTCACCGTGTTAGCCAGGATGGTCTTGATCTCCTGACCTCATGATCCGCCCGCCTCGGCCTCCCAAAGTGCTGGGATTACAGGCGTGAGCCACCGCGCCCGGCCTATTTAGCCCTTTTGAAATAAATACACTCAGATATTTTTCTCGTGTCATCAGGCCACTAAATGTTTCACTCTGTCTCAGTGTCTTGGAGTGCTGAGCTGAAAAAGAGAACATTGTCAGATACTCCATTTACAGAATTACCACATAATGCATGTGCTGAGGAGTTCTTACTTGTTTTTCCAGTTGTGCTCTCATTTCATGGAACCCATTAAATCTGACTTTGAGCAATGGATGATGAGGTTATGACAGGATTGATCAGCTGTAAATTTCAACCTAGAATAAAAAGACACATTGATAAATAATGATAAAACAACTAACACAACAGATTAGTTATTAAAATATCACCCTTTATTTCCAATTTCAGATCCAACTTTTCTTCATGGTAGAGATACCCTAACTGCCCTCCAAACAAAGTTGCTAGTATTGGAAGGAGGTTTGAGGATACTCATCTAGTGCAAGAGATCCCTCATCAATTTCACTTCATCTTTTCACAGAGCTTCCGGTTGTATAATTCTGCAGTGTAATTCAGTTACTACCAAAGAATCTCATGTCATTTTTTAACACTTTTCACTGCTTGAAAGGTCCATAGGTTAAATATGGAATTTACAACTTTACCTTTTCCACTATCCTTTTGTACATCTTTAACCAATCAACAAACATCTCTCAATTTATTTTCCTTAAATGTAATAAGTAAAAAGTGTGGTTGAGTGGAAGATTACCAAAGTCCTCTGATTTAGATGTATTGTATTGTGTTGTTTTGTTTTTTTCCTCCCGGAAGTTCACTGTTGTTGTATATTCTCTTTATTATTAAAATAAAATATGTTCTTTTGAAGGTTGAATGGTTTCAGTGAGAAACAATTATTGGTACATTTCCTTCCCTAGGCATGAACACCTAATATATTTGTTAGATATTCAACAACAACTGTATTGAAAACAAAGCTATTTAATATGGCTATTATATTAAATACACTTAGAAGACTTGATTCAAAGCCTACAGTAGTTAAAAAACAAAACACACAAAAGTAACTAGAATGTAAAGCACAAAAATGTAAATTTACAAAACATGTATTCCTTATTTTTAGTACTACAAATATTTAAATTTAGAATTGAATGTTCTGACAAAATATTTCTACTTTTATATTTAGTAGAGGAATATGTCCAAATGACAAATAAAATATATTTATAATTTTTCTGTTCTATATATTATTTAATCTTCTATAAGCAAATGAGTATTATAAAAATTAAGAAAGAAATTTCTCATAATTAACAATGAACTTCATATTATACAAAATGAGTTCTCATCATAAGAAAAAATAGATAATTTACTCTGAACTGATGTGAACTTTCAGATTCAGTATTTCAGAGCAAATTTAGTTGTTCTGAAATCATTATATGATCTCATTTGACATGCAGTGCAACTTCAGGATTGATGTAACATGTAATCCATCCAATTTTAGCACAATAACGTCTTGGAACTTAATAAACACATTTCTGAGTATAGCATGAAATAAAATTGGCTTCAGTGAATGAATCCTATAAAACCAAATTTTGTTGGAAGATAATAAGGCAAAGTTGCAGATCTCATTATTTTAATAGCTCTGTTTTTCTGCCTGTAACATGAATGGGTTAAAATTTTATAAAACTATTAAATCTGATTATATACTATATATTAATAACAAACTATTAAGCTGAATTACACTTATTTTTCTTTTTAAAATGTTTATATGCAAATACATGAATATATTCTTATAAACTTGAGTCAATGTAGACAAAGCAAATTATACTGTTAGTAACATATTTTTCAAAAGCATACTTTTCAGAAGAATCTGAATTTTAAGGCCAATAACTGCTACCAAACAATTTCATATGATAATACCCATAGAAAGCATATATAGAAGAACAAACATGTTTTAATGGATTTTACATATATAGACAATATTATACTTACTGTATTCAATTGTTTCTCAAAATTAATATACATTGTTGCATTTTTATATAAAACAAATTTCTGTCTATGGAATTTCATGTGATAAAATTACAAAAGTTAATGAGTTTGCCATACCCAATTTTCAAGAGTCAGTAGGGTTCTCTTACACATTTCTACTGGATATTCAAACTGATATAACTTCTCTAGGGAAAAAAAAGCATCTCCATGTAACATTGAATATACAATTCACATAGTTTGTGACTCATTAGTTCAACTTCTAAGCAGAAATAAAAGAGAAACCCTGGTCCATGTGTTGGAGAGACATGTGGGAGAATGTACATCCTAGTACCGTTTAAAAAAAGAAAAATAAAAGAATAAAGAGTCATCCAGGAAAACATGGAAAATAAATGTTGTAACATATGTACAATGATTATTATACAATCACATGACATAAAACTACTAGAACCAACCCTGGAGATAGATAAATATATGATAGGAAGGGAGGGAGATAGATTAGATAGATAGATAGATGGATAGATAGATAGATAGATAAATAGACAGATATTGAGATTTGAATATTGTAGAATATTTGGGGCCTTTTTAAAGATAAAATAAAAACACAAATTTGAAAACACAATATCCTTGAGGCCATTTTCCTGGTCCCTGGATAAATCCCATACATGGAAAGACATGACTCTTCATTAAGTTTTAAGGTTAAACTGTTTCTGTCTATAGTTATAGATAACAACAAAGGGTGAATCTCAGCACATAATGCACAACGTGGATTTACAAAAATAAGCCATATCAACCACTAAATAGCCGTTTTACGATGTTTAGAAATAATTAAAACAAAATAATAGTGTTTAGTTATACATAGACATTCAATACATTTTTTAACCAAATAAAGGGATTAATAAATTATTAAATTAAAAAGTCATGTTTTGTGTTAATTAGTAAAGTAAAATTTACTGAAAAGACTGCAGCTATCAGATATTGCATTTTGTATTCAAATCTCGTTTTATTTGTACATAGTCCTTAGATAACAGCTATGGCATTGATATATAGATAAATGGATAAACACATCTTGCTGCAAAAGAACTGTAGAAGAAAAAAAGGTACAAAGTGTAAAATTTCACTTCCAGTGTCCTATTAAAAATTGGTGATACTGCTACCATAAATTACACACATATATATACACCACACACACCTTGATTTTGAATGGTAATTCTTTGAATGTAATTAAAATTTGATTCATCTTAATAAAAAATTATTAAATTAATACTCCATTAGAAAGCAATAATGAAATACTGGGGAAAATACCTGAATTTGTAATACTCAGATTTTTTTGTGGAAGCTTAATCTGTTGGGGGGTGGATTCTGGTAAAATCTGGTTACATTACAGTTGTACTGAATTTATGGTTGTATGTTGGGGCTTAGGCATGAAAAAGGATCATTCACATGTGAGATCACACCAATGTTGAATGCACTTTTCACAAAATGGCTGGCACTTTGAAAGGTAAAAAATGTGTGTTTATTACAAACAGAGAAATTAAGTTATGGAAAACTCTATTCAAAAAGTCAAACAAATTAGTATATATTTCATAGGGTAAATTAGTATATATTTCATAGGGTATTTCCACGCAACATTGAAATCTACCTGGCCAAATATATGAAAATTCATTTTTCCCACCTCTAAGCTTTCAGAACAATGTGCAGTGGAAAATGTTTACTTAAATTACAGTTTCATGTAGGGCTATCCTGTAACTCAGAAAAGTCAGTTTTTCCCAAGTTTGTGTTCTTCAACTAGACACTCTTTGGACTAAAAGACATTCAGTTTTAGTAAAAACTACTGCCACTTCTGCTTTCTTTATATATTATTATTATAGGCTGCTTGTTGTACTCTGCTTGCACTGTGTGCAAAACAAGTTCTAAAATCTCAAGTGCAGCAGGCATGGCTACTGTGATGAATTTAAAATGATACACATAGAAAGGGGCAGGCAAAGCATGCCCTCTTTTTCATCATGCTTTCAGAAGGGTCTTAGCCCCATGGAAATGTGTGATATAAACCCAGTGAAAGCTGCTAATGGATGAGCAGTACTGAAATCACTTATAATAAGATGATGACATCCTACATCCAGTTTTTAATAGCCACTTCATTAAAGGGTATATTTATTCTGTATGCTTGAGTATAACTAGAGGATTAAGTTTAGTTAGAATAGTTTTTAGATATATTTCAGTTTATATAAAATAGGCATATTCTGCCTATTTGCATTTGTTTACCATTGTTGATATGTTAAAAAAAGATGCAACTGTGTCATTTAAAGTTAATAGACATAGCTTTTAACTATCCATATTTCTATAGATGTTGGAGTCTTACAATAGAAGATATTTTACAGACCTAGAGGGTTCAGTGCAAAATTTTACATCATAAAGCTTTATATTGTAACAATACAGTGAGAACAAGTTTCTTTAAAAATGGAGCTAGACAGGAAATAAGAAATACTGTCTCATTATACTTCTGAAAGGATTTTTCCTTCCCGATGACTGAGATAATATGGCCCTATTATAGTCTCAGTATTTGGTCAGCATGCTTTATCAAAAATAAGTCTGAGTCTTATCGGGAAAAGAAAATTAGGGAAGCAAGCTTTGATATGGATATCAACACCATAATAGCTTTCTGAAAAAAAAAAGTATTTTATTTCCATAATATGATGCCATGTGGAATTGTGGTAGAAAGAATGCAGGTCAAAAATATCTCTTCTTCCTGAAGTGCCATGTCAAAAAGAAAATTAAACAACAACAAAAAAAACAAAACAAAAGAATCATGTCTTCTAGTATGTAATGAATATATTTCTAAATAAACATAAATTTAAGATCAGTTTTTTTTTTCAAAGAATAGGGAAGTTTTTTATTTATAGGAAAGCTCTTAGATATTTTACAAAAAACAATATTTTTTACTGCAAAACTCAGCCCTTAATGAATCTTTTTTGTAGTTATGACTATAATGCATTTTAGCAGAAAAACCCTGTTAAAATGTAAACTAAATATTTTAAATGTGCAATAGCGTTTTTTAAAAAATAAGAGACTGCATTGTTTTTTATTTTATTGTTTTGTATGTATAAATAAATGTATATTTCATTTTATCTTTTTTCAGGTGCCAGGTTGAATTGCTTTATGAAAATAAATTTTTTTCAATGCATGTTTTTCAAATATTTATTAGTAACTTTATTTAGATAATGTAAGCTAAGCTCATTGAGTTTAAGTTCCAATGAGGCAGTAATCCATTATTCATTGAACACCTTGTAAATTCTTATAGTATATTAGAAAGTGGTTAATTGAGTTTTTGTTGTTTTTGTTACATAGCACCAAATTTCTAATTTCTTTTGTTAGATAATTTGTAACTTACTGAAATTGAAATTAAAAATAAAAACATTTTACTACTTTGAAGTTTTTCTTTATTTCCCAAAATCTGTTCCTCCAGAATAGAATCAGAATACAGGTTTGGTATATCATGTCTTATATTTATATGTACTTTTCATGCTTTTGTCAATTAAGTGTCTATATATGTATACACACACACTCGCACATATATATATATACATATAAAATGATAGGCCTTCTTTTTACTTTGCTTTATTTATTTACTTTTCCACTAATAATAAAATAATATTAAAATATTAAAATAATATTAGAGAAAACAACTCACACAAATTTGACAAGAGTTTACCCAAACAGATTTTCAGTCTTAGGTAATAGCTTTGTTGGTTCTGTAAAAATCATATATGTCTAGTGTGATTAAAATGCTTTTGAAAATGAATTGTTGAAAACAGGGTGGAAAATAATAATATGCTGATTGAAAGTGACAAGCTAAAATTAATGTCTTATTAACAGGACTCTAAGGTGTACAGGAGAAGTGTATTTCAGCAAGGTAATGGCTGTCTGTAGTTTCTCCCATATTATGGATAGTGAAATCTCCACTCAAGAAATGCTATTAGTTATCTCTTCTGGAAACTCATTCATTTATATGGTGCTTCCTCACAAAAAGATCCAATAGATATATTATTTTCTGAAATATTTGAAATGATGAAAACTGTTTGGAAACTGATTTTGCTAATTATTGAAATGCTTATCATTTTTACCCAGAATAAGTACATCTATTTTGATTCTAGTTTTATCTGCAGTTGAATGATTCCACAGTGAATAGCCATGTCCACAACCACTTAAAAATCAATTCTACATTATATTTTCCTGAGCACTTACATTTTGCCATTCAAACCACTGTAAATACAAATAAGGTGTATTGAAAACTTCTATAAGATTACTTATAGATGAGAGAGTTTACATTTGCAACAAATATACAACTTAAATAATTTAAAGCTCTTCATTTTATTCAGTATTTGCAATGTGTCATGAATCATGGCCATGTATACAGAATAGGATATTTTCAAGAAAGGCCCATTAGGAACACTTTGTATGTAGTTAAAGTTTATATTTGCAAGTATATCCACATCAAAAATAAATATCTTCTCTTTCTTCTCTTTAGGATTTAATATGATTGATTTTGGAGAAACAGTTTTGTATTCATTATCTTTGCTCAAGCTTTAACAGGTTAACTTAAAAAAAAAAAAAGTCTGGTCCTGAAGAAATGATTTCAAGACAAAGACAAATAAAATTTGAAACACCCTACCCCACACAAATCTCACTTTTTAACTGTTAATTTAAGGAGATTTAGTAAGAAATAAAGCCAATCACCAAAATAGAAATTCAAGTAAACTGTGTTGAGTGAAATGTTAAGGATAATATTTCTATTATTATACACAGTCCATTCATGTTTTCAATATTTGCTAGCTTCTGAATGTAAAATACAATTCTTAATACTCTTATTTCCCATGACTCTCCCACCAATTGTTTTGTTGATTTTTTTTCCATTGTTGTTTTTAATACAGAAGGTTTGCCTTCTTCAGCATACTCATCTCATGCTCCCTGCCAGAATGGTTCTACTTTACTCTGCAGAGAATCTCATTATGAGGGATTCATTTTTATCCTACAGGATTTTCTCTCTTGATCTCTCTGTAAAAAATTAATTCCCCACGGTTGTTAAAGTACTAGTAGCTTCCTAGCAAAAGAGATAAGATGGACAATTTTTATTTATTTTCTTTCGTGCAATGAATGTCTTAAGTTTACATTCAGAGGAGATTAATAATAGTTTAATAATTCCCAAAATAATTTTTCTCAGAAATTTGAAGATATTGCTCAATAATTTTCTACAATTCAATGCTGAATTTGAGAATTCTAATGACATTTTATTTTCATTTTAAATATTTTTTTTACCTCTATGGATGTAACTGTTTTTAACATTTTACAATGAAATATCTTAGTATGTGTCTTGTCATTATACATTACTAAGAGCAAGCCTGTTCAATTCAGACATAATAATTCTACGTATTACTTGTACCTGGGATTACAGGTGCACACCACCACGCCTGGCTAATTTTTGTATTTTTAGTAGAGACAGGGTTTTACCATGTTGGCCAGGCTGGTTTTGAACTCCTGACTTCAGGTGATCCACCCGTCTCGGCCTCCCAAAGTGCTGAGATTACAAGCATGAGCCACTGTACTCGGCCTATTTTTATCATTCTTTCTAAAATTTTTGGTTTCCAATTTATCATTTCTTATAGTAATCTGTTTAGTGGTGGTGTTGGTTTTTAATTTTTTTCACAGTCTAAGATATCTTCATTTGTCCATTCCATTTTCACAACTGAATTTATTACCTGCTGTTAGTTACAACATATAAAAACTGTATCTTTTTTAAAAATCTTAGTTGCTAGCATCATATTCATATTTAAAAGACTATGCTACAAACTTGGAATGATCAATCATATCTGATGTTCTTTACGTTCCAAGTGAATGAAAGGATTCTACTTTCTCCTTCTCTTTGAAGACACATGGCAACATGTGACTTTTTCTGTCCAATGGAATGTAGTGAAAACTGATGTATTTTTCCATTGTCAGCATTTTATTGCTGATGTAAAACATTTTATATGCCATTTCCCATCCAACTGACTGAAAAAGTATGTGTGACCAGGTGGTGCAGCTATAGGATGCTGGACCCTTTATCAACTTAGATATTGAGTGATCCTGACAGTAATCTGCACCCAGAGTGAACTTTCCAAAGCTATACTATTACTATTACCACCACCACCACCACCAATACATACACACATATGTGCATACATGCATACATACAAACATACATTCATCCATCTTTTTTTTTTTAGACGTAGTCTTGCTCTGTTGCCAGGCTGGAGTGCAGTGGCATGATCTCAACTCACTGTAACCTCCGCCTCCCAGGTTCAAGCTATTCTCCTGCCTCAGCCTCCCGAGTAGCTGGGACTACATAAGTGTGCCACCACACCCTGCTAATTTTTGTATTTTTAGTAGAGATGGGGTTTCACCATGTTGGCCAGGATGGTCTTGATCTCTTGACCTCATTATCTGCCCGCCTTGGCCTCCCAAAGTGCTGGGATTACAGGCCATCCATCTTCATTTTTTAAGCCACTACAGTTTTGTTTTTTTCTTACTGCAGTGTGACCCAGTCTCTCCTGAATGATTCAAGTTCAATATTGTTTATTATCTCAGGTTGTATATGTTTTTGTTTGTTTAGTACTCTTTGCACTGTCTCTGTTATCTTCAAATATTTTCACTTTTTGTGTATATGTTTTAGTGTCTGTCTTGTATTTGCATCATTTTCTGAATGTTTGTTGGTCTCTGGTTTTCTGATTATGTTTCAAAAAGAAGAATTTCATAGCCTATTGTTAGCTATCTGTTTGAAAAAAGCTGTGCTCCATAGTGACTGGATAAAAAAACTTAATATTTTTCCCATTATACCATTTCCAAACGTACAGGTTTATTTATATTTCTGGGAAAATTCCAGGTTTTTTAGAAAAAAAAAGTGACCTTTCTTTGGCTGTCTACAACTTACTGCCAATGTTCTTAGATTAGAATTTGAGAAGACTGCTCAGCTTCTTGCTGTTTTGGAACAAATTTCAATTTAGCACGTTAGCTTCAATGTTTTTTATTACATGTACCTAAATCTAATTTCTCTCATTGTACACAGTCCAGAGGATAAATATTAGGTGCCGTGTGGATTTAGAAGCTCCTTTAATTACGGAGGCAATTTTAAAAAAACTAACTTTTCCACATCCATAGTTTTATTCTATCCCCACACTGATCTCAATATTCACAGTTTCTGGTATTTCAGTGTTTTAAGTCCTCTTGGGATTCTGAGAACTGTCTTGCTTCCGGTTACTATTGTTCTGTGCAAGCTCTTAGCTTTCATTTTTTTATATTCTTTACTGACACAATTACTGTGCTTCTGTAAGCCGTTCTTTCTTATCATTTTCCCCTCGTGAGTATGCACTTTATTATGATTATTTTTCTATCACATTAATAATGCTTGAGGAGTATGATAAATGTTCACCTTCAAGAAAATATGTTTTAACTCTAACTTTCTTACCCATTCTCTTTATTTCATGTATCTTTAACTGCTCATTGTCTTATCCTGAAAGCCTGCTTTTCAGTTTCAAAAGCCATACTAATAGAAAAAAATAACTATGATTTTTTGAATGCTTACTATGTGTCTGCTTTTTGAAATGCTTATATGCAATGAATCATGTAATCTTTTTGGCATGGTAGGATGCATGCCACTTTATGTATCAGCATTAGGTAACTTGCATGAGGGGTTAAACAGTAAATACAAGATTCAGGGTATTGACACAGATCTGTCTGATTCAAGGAATATCAATCTCTGCAAAAAACTGGGTTTATCAAAAACAACAGCAATAGCAATGATGCAGTAATGGAGGGATAAATTCTGTAAGAATTACTTGATTTTTCAAATTGTCAGCATTTTCAAGTGAAAATTGCACATAGACAAACTGGCATATGTCATTCATCAGGAATTGGAAAAGAACATTATTTTCTGGCAAAATACAATAAATATAAATATATAATAATTTAAAGCTGAAAAATCAAAATAAAAAATGAGTTGAGTGTGAGTTGAGTTAAAGATAAATTAAAAAATTATTAAAGTGATCATAACTTATAATTTTTCTGAAATTGGAAAACTTTGGTCCTACATCAAATTTAACATAGGTGACTTATCAAGAATCAAGAATTAGGGCCAGGTGCAGTGGCTCAAGCTTGTAATCCCAGCACCTTGGCAGGCCGAGGCGTGCAGATCACCTGAGGTCAGGAATTCAAGACTAGCCTGGTTAACATGCAGAAACCCCATCTCTACTAAAAATACAAAAAAATTAGCCAGGCGTGGTGGTGGGCGCCTGTAATCCCAGCTACTCAGGAGGCTTAGGCAGGAGAATTCCTTGAACCCGGGAGGCAGAGGTTGCAGTGAGCCGAGATGGTGCCATTGCACTCCAGCCTGAGCAACAACAGCGAGAATCCGTTTCAAAAAAATAAATAAATAATTGAGAATCAGGAATTATTAATTTTGGGTCATTTCATACAGAAATGAGAATATGTAAATATTCGCTTTGTATTAAGAAACACCTTTAAATGCAAACACACATACAAAAAATACACACATGAAAAAAATGTCTCAAGAAATAGGATATTATAATGTAATCATTACAGGTTTTTCCTGTTTATTTAAATTTCAACATAATGTACAAAGTCATAGAGGCATAAACTTTAATAACTAGACAGCTTTTTATTAAAAACATTTACACATATTTTTTATAAATATAGAGATTTTTCTTTTTAAAATTCACTTGAATAGCAAAGTGAGCTTTATTTATAGACATAATTTTCCTTAAGCAATTATTAACTTATTTTTTTCCTGTTTGGACAATGATTAAAACTAGTGCTTACAATCAAAGCTTTGTTATTTGTTTTGTTGAAAGTGAAGAGATGGTATCGTGAAATTTAGGGAAAAAAAGGACAATTATTCCAAAAGTGAATGAAAGTAGTCCATTTTGTTTGCTGAAATGGCATCCTAATCATCTAACCATCTCTTCCTTTGACATCTAGAAGTCTTCATTGTATGCTCAATGATGAATGCTTTGTTCAGACTGAACACTTTAAGCTGCTGGAAGTAAGGGCATCTGCCAGTTTTAAGCTTATGTGGCCTTAAACAAAACCCCTTCTGTTGTTTGCCTGACAGAGGAGCATACATCTCCTCTTTCAGCAGAAAGCCTCTGTTGAGAGCCTAAACTTCAAGTCCTTTTGCCAAACAACGCCCCATCCATGATCAAAGTAAAGCAGGAATATGACATTCAAGTTTATGTTCAGCATCCTTAGCAGACATTGACTAGAAAAAAAACCTTTAATTTCAAAAAAAATAATTTGATTAGTATCTGCAAGTTGGCATTTCACCAAAGACTACAATGCCCAACAACGTAAAAAAAAAAAAAGGCTTTATTTTGGCCCCATTTTAATTACTTTCAGCCTTTGCTACTCTCTCAACTTTACCAAACATATTGGCCTCAGGGGTCTTCATTGTCTTTGAGGCAATTCTTCAAATTATCCGCAAGATTTATTTAAAATTACCCTTTGTATACCTCTTCTATATCACCTTCTCAAATTCTTTATTTTACTAGAATCAAATCTAATCCCTGTGCTGCATAGAAATAGCTCTTGTGAGGTTAACAGTCTCCTCCAGGTGACTGGGCCAATGAGTCTGTTTGTGATCTCCTTATACCACACCTCAATAGTATCTGAAACCCTGCCAGGTACTTACTTCATTAAAGCATTTATCATACTTTATTATTTATCTACCTCAATTTCCCTTGACAGAGGCCAAGAAATGCCTGTGACTTCTTACCAAAATTGTCTAGCAAGATTCTTGGTACCTATAGGAACTCCAAAAATATTGAACAGATGTGCGAATAATGAGATGGAATAGAGTCTTTTAGTGTTCTTATCTGATTCTCTTGAGTGTCTGGGTATATGGGATCATTACATCTCCAAGGACTTTGAAGTTAGGTGTGAGTCATACGATCGTTTCTATCCAGTGAATAATTAGGGGAAACAATGTGTGTGTCACTACCGGGCCAGGGCTGTAACTGCCATTGCAAGGCCCTCTGGCACTTTTTGCGTCTGCCACAGTGATCTTGAAAGCATGTGTTGGGAGGAGATGCTATGTAAACAAAAACAAAGCAGTCAGAAACACTACCTAATAGAGAACAACTGCTCTGGAGTTTCACCCAATACCACAAGAGGTTTAAATTTCAGCAAGAAATAAATTTCTTTTTTTATTATGATGAGATATTTTCATGAACAACAAAGAGATCACCACAGAGACAAAAGCTACTCACTTTCAACTACTGAAGTCTGCAGAACAAGAGATAATGCTGAGTCCCCAGACCAGTTGCTCTTAATATGTTGTCAGCAAATCCCTGCTTGTCAGCTGGGCACTTCCAGGGGTGCATGGTGAAAACAATTTTCCTTGTACTACTAAGACAATATTTTTGTTTTCACTATGATGGGTGCAAAAACAGTGGTGAGTAAAACTACCAGCAGCTTACCAAGTACCAAGGCAATGAAACCAAACAGCCATGGCAGTCATTGAATTCCTTACCCCTAAGCAGTTCCAGGAGAAAAATACTAATTTCCTTTAAGGGTACTTTTGGTGAAAATTTATTAAACAGAAAAATATTAATAATTATTATTTATTTAATTTCATTTATTCCTGGTCCCTGAGTAAACATTGTTTTAAGGTTTGTTGTATAAAAATGAGAATTCTGCATATAGCACTTCTGTGTCAGGAGAAGAACTTGTGTGATTGTTTGAATTGTAGGCTGAAGTAGCAGCATTTTCATGAAGTTTTTACTTTAAGGAACAACAGGCAATTGAAGTGTAACTTATCTAACTTGGGTTATTTTTAAGTTTCTCAAAAGAGCATAAAGTAAGCCTATCTCTTCAAGAAAAAGAAAACAACTTAGAGTAACAGGTAATTAAAAGCATCAATAAAGTACATTTTTAAAAATAGTACAACAGAAGTTATATGAACTGTGAAGATATAACATTTGTATCTACCCAATTTAAGCTTCACATTGAATGGTTAAAATGCCAAGTCTTTCAGAATATTTTATAGAATACAGAATAATAAAGAGGTAGAGTATAGAAGAATAAACCTGACTAGCTCACTACGTTAAGAAGAACAGAGAAAAAATGCATCAAGAGATATTTAAGTCCATTTTAAGTCCAAAATGAAACTCTATACCCACTAATCCTGGAAAAAGAAGTCCTTTATATTTAGGTCTATATTCTTTATGTAGAAAATCCTGTGTTGTTGAAAGTTTTCCTAATGCATGAAACATACCTATTAAAGTGTGTGTGTGTGTGTGTGTGTGTGTGTGTGTGTGAGATATTAGTAGAACTTTGTTCAGGTTCTATATTCTACCAGAAATATTTACTTCTAATATTTTAATAAAGTATATAAACAATATCTCAACAATTTTACTACAGAATAAAAGCCTTAAGCAAAAGTTAAAGATGATGTTAAAATGTGAAGAATAATTTTAATTACTGATCATTCGTTAAGTTGTAGAGGGATGTTAGACATAAGTCAGACATACTGACTTGTTACTAATAGTCTGTGGGAAGACCAGACACTCAGAGTCAGTGAGGAGACCTTTCTTTAAACAGGCCAGTGACCACAGAACCATTTTAAAAGGCCATTAAAAACGATGTCAACAGATCTCATTTTCCCAAGCTAATTAACAAGAAGCAGACACCATTGAATTACATGTCTATGAGACCGTTTCTCTAATTTTATAAGGCTGTGCTGGCATGGACATATTTCCACTTCCAACCTCTCTAAGAGGTTATTCATATGCACGAAAAGAGAAAGAAAAGTAGACTTGTCTCCCTACTTATCTCAGAAAACAGCCCCTACCCATCGTGGTTGTGTTTATCTGAAGTATCATCACGTTGGATCTATGAGCTGAATTGTCAGTCTCATTGGCCTACAGGATTTGACAGAGTGTTTTTAAAGTTGGATTTTATTTTTTAATTGATTGCTTAGGTTAATCCCTTGTCTTTACTTGGCCATCTAGGAATGGGATTCTACTAATAATACTTTCATAATAGACAATCCAAGGTATAATAGTACAGAATGGTAAATAACAGAAAGAACAAGAGAGAGAGAACATTCAAAAGCAAATCCAGTACTGTCTTCCTGCTCACAGGGGTGACCAGAGCACCTGAAACTGGGAATTGATTCAACCTAAGGTTGTTGCCAAAGACTGACAAAACAAAACAGAAAAAAATAAAACAATGTAAACTAAGAACATTCAGCTGCAATGTCCTCCCATTCCTTATCCAAGTGGGTAAAATAGTTTACATCTTTTAGTTCAGTTATAAGATAAAGACAATACATTAATCTTAACATAAGTGACAGATTTGGTCCTGAGCCTCTAAACAAGGATAATCCAGCAATTCAGTACATTTCTCTACTTCAAGGAACTATTTCCCCTGTTCCAATGATGGTGTTGGAATGGGTAATTTTAAACTCAGTATTCTGCCCTTTAAACTTCAAGTATGAGAACACGATTCAGGTGTTTACAGTAACTAATATGTCTGCATCAGAGAACTGGTCCAGGGATGAAACATTACCCATTTTGTTTTTTTAGTTTGAGGTGAATTTTTTTGTCACTTGTAATCTAAACAATTACTGAGACAAATATTAGAGAAACCTTTTTTCATTTCTTCATTTTGAAGAAATTTCTAGCATCTCAAAATGATTCAGGAATATGAAGGGTTTTTTGTAGCACTTTGATTATTAAATCATTTTTTAAAAATATGCTACCCCTTTGAGAAGCCACTCCACAATGGCCAGTCAACATGGATTGTCATGCCACGTAAGCAGAGTCCACTGAGAACAGAGTCAGTTGTGCTTTCCACAGAAAGGATCTAGGAGAAAGTATAGTAACACATCTTGCTATTATTGGTTAACCCCGTGTTAAATTAAAAAAAAACATTTAAGCATAAATTACTCTTTGAACCTTTCATTATGCACATATAATAGGATGATGTTCATGTTTTTCCCACTGTCTAACATCAAGGAGCAGAAGTGAGACCTCAGTATATTCTCACATGTAGCCATCTAGCTTGGAATCTAGTCAAGAGAAAGTGCCATCCCCCTTCTCTAGTTCCACGGTGGAGGAGACACCTGCTTCCATTCAAACTAAGACAGGAGGACAAATCGCATGAGATATGTCTAATAACTGACTCATTATAATATGTCTAGATTATGTAAACAAATTATAATACTAATAGGGCTTTGTTTCACTTGTATTTAAAATATACACATATATAACAAGCACAAGGTAATGTCTCGATCAGAGGCAGAAACAAAATACACGTGCACTGTGTTTCTTTTATGCAGTATTTAAAAACATGCACAAATAAACAACATATTATTTATGGGTAAAAACTCGATAAAATAAAAAAAAAGCTACGATGAAACACAAAGAGAGAGGAAATTGAATAGGTAAGGAATCCATAATGTATTTAAAATAATTAAAATATTTTTAGACTGCTTGGTAGGAAATAGGGTATTTGTTGTTGCATGATTTTTATGCCTTTCTTATTTTTATAAATACTGTGTGTATTTGCTCAATATTCAAAAATTACTTTTATATAGTATATTTTTCTGAATTTGTTTTATTTCATAATAAACATTTTTAGACCAGTTTTAGGTTCACAGCAAAAGTGAACGGAAAATACAGAGAATATAATTGATGAATTGTCCAAATGTATAATGACATGTATTCACAACTGGAGTATCATAAACATTCTTTTCACTGCCCTGAAAATCCTCTGTGTTCTGCTTCCTTCCTCCTCACTATTCCCTGACAATCACAGATTCTTTTACTATTTTCATAGATTTGCCTTTCTGAGAATGTCATATAGTTGGTGTCATACATATGAGCCTTTTCATGTAGGCTTCTTTCACTTACTAATATGCATTGAAGTTTCTTCCATGTCTTTTCATGATTGCATTACTTAATTAGTTTGTTTTATTTCAGAACTAAAGTTCACATATGTATTAGTTAGAATTGGTTACCTAGAATATGCAAGTTGAAATTGTGTTATTACAGATCTAATGATGCATATCATAATGCCTATCTTCATGGACATTATAGTTTATTAGCAAGGATAATACACACACATGCAGATGTCTGTGACATTTTTTTTCCAAGGCTGAGATTCCTAAAAGGACATTCCTAGGGATGAGATCTTTAATTAGAAATCATTTAGGCAAACATGAATAAAACTCAGTTTTTGTTTGTTTGGTTGGTTTATTTATTTGTTGGATACATCTTTCTTTAATACTGACATAGAATAGATACACTTGAATAAACAACCAACAGTTCAGCAGTTTCTTGACACTACCCTTGCAGGTGCCTGGTCACAGAAGAAAATGAACAAACAGTCTGGCATAATAGATATTGTCTGTATTAATTCCTTCTAATGCTGCTATGGAGAAATACCTGAGACTCGGTAACTTATAAAGGAAAGAAGTTTAACTCACAGATCTGCATGGCTGGAAAGACCTCAGGAAACTTACATCATGGAGGAAGGAGAAGCAAACACATCCTTCTTCACAAGGCGGCAGGGGAGAGAAGTACTAAACAAAGGGGGAAAAGTCCCTTATAAAACCATCAGATCTTGTGAGAACTCACTCACTATCATGAAAACTCCATAGAGTAACTGCTCCCATGATTCAATTACCTCCTACCAGGTCCCTCTCATGACACGTGGGGATAATGGGAACCACAATTCAAGATGAGATTTGGTTGGGAACATAGCCAAATCATATCATTGCCATTTATAGAATTCCTACTATGTGATAAGTATCTTATTAGGCAATATATGCACTATATTACTTCAAACCAAAACTTTACCATTTGTGAAATATATCTAAATAACAAAGAAGACATCTATTCAATTAATTATAAGATGCTATCAGTTATAACTTGCACCCTAGTTTCAGACATGTAAAATGTGAAAAGAAAATTATTAGAATTAAAATGTGTTATTTTTCTCCCTTATTCCTACTACATTATAATGAAGTATAAACATTATCATTCTTTAATGCACAAGATCATTGAGGTTCAAGATACTGTTGTTTGACAAAGTTACAAAGACAGAAAATGAGATAATTCAATCAATATTTGGGTACTCAATCTCTATAAATCCTGATACTGTTAATTTGGAAATACAAGTTACATTCAAACTAACGTAGAAGAAAACTAAGAATTTATAGTTAAAAAAGATAATTTCTTAATAATAATAAAACACACTGATTAGAAAATAGTTTTAAAACCACTATTGGGTCATTATAACTATTCTGACATTTTCTAATTCTTTAAAACTAATATTAATGTTTTCATGTTAGAAAACTCTCTATTCTTACATTTTTAGATTTAAAAATTTCCCATCATAATAATCAAGATATGGAATCAACCTAAGTCTCCTACAGCAGATGAATGTATAAAAAATATGTATACTTATATAATGGAATACTATTCATCTGTGAAAAAGAATGAAATCCTGTCATTTTCAACAACATGAATGAGATAGCAATGCATAATGTTAAGTAAAATAAGCCCAACACAGAAAGACAAATATCACATGATCTTTCTCATATGTGGAATCTAATAAAGTTGATCTTATAGAAGCAGAGAGTAGAATGATGGTTACCTAGAGGCTGAGGTGGGGGATAACAGCAGAGAGGTAAGAATGAAGAGAAGCTGGTCAATGTTACAAAGTTACAATTAGATAGAAGGAATAATCAATTGCTTGATTGCTCAGTAGGGTGACTGTATTAGTCTGTTTTCACCCTGCTACAAAGAAGTACCTAGACTGGGTAATCTGTAAAGGAAGAGATTTAATTGATTCATAGTCCCACCTAGCTGGAGGCCTCAGTAAACTTACACTCATAGTGGAAGGTAAAGGAGAATCAAGTACCTTCTTCACAAAGTTGCAGGAAGAGAGAAGAAGATCAAAACGGGGAAGCACCAGACACTTACTAAATAACCAGATCTCCTTGGAACTCACTCACTATCACAAGAACAGCATAGGGAATGCCACCCCCATGATCCAATCACCTCTCACCAGTTCCTTTCTTCGACAAGTGGGGATTATGAGAATTACAAATCAAGATGAGATTTGGTGGGGACACAGAGCCAAACCATATCAGTGACTATAGTTAACAGCAATGTAAGGTACATATCAAAATAGCTAGGAGAAAGGATTTTGAATGTTCTCACTCCAAAGATACGATAAATGTTTCAGATGGTAAATATAATAATTACCCTGATTTGCTCATTATGCAATATATATAGAGACAAACATCAATTGTACCCCATAAATATGTATGATCATTATGCTTCAATTTTTTAAAAGTACATTTTTCCCAACATATTAATGTTGCTGCTCAAACGATTGATTTGCCCTAAGCACTTTTTTTTATGGCTTGTCAAAGGGACAATTGCCATTTCTCTGATACAATCCCTAACTAGCTTGTAGTCTTTATACAAAGGACAATACGCCCCTAAAGAAAATTCTTCTCTCTTGCGACTTTCCTAACTGTAGTCAACTAATAATCACTAAGTTTCTTCAGTGTTTATTCTTCCTTGATGTCACGATTTGATTGGTTCCTTGATCTTTCAAACTCTACCCGTTTGTATGGCAATAAAATCTATAGAGAATTAGCAAGTTTCATTAAAAAGGAATATTTTGAGGCAAATTCATGAAGAAAGAAAGATTAGTGTTTTTCAGAACCTGGGGGGTTGGGGGAGATTGTGGAGTAACTGCTAGCAGGTACAGTTTCTTTTGGGGGTGAAAAAAATGCGATGCTATAAAATTAGATAATGGTGATGGTTGTACAACTCTAAATAAATTAAAAACCAGTAATTGTGCACTTTAAAATAATGACTGTTATCACAGCTTAATTATACCTCAACTGTTATTTACGAAAGTAAAAGCCTCCAAAATGTTCTTAAAAGAGAAAGACAGCTTGATTTTGGAGTTAGCTAAAATGGCAGTAAGTAAAAAAGACCAAATATTTAAAAGTATTTAAAAATGGAAAAACAGCTGAGCGTGGTGGCTCACACCTGTAATCCCAGCACTTTGGAAGGTTGAGGCGGGTGGATCGCCTGAGGTCAGGAGTTCGAGACCAGTCTGGCCAACATGGTGAATCCCTGTCTCTACTAAAAATACCAAAATTAGCCTGGCATTGTGGCAGGTGCCTGTAATCCCAGCTACTCTGGAGGCTGAGGCAGGAGGATCATTTGAACTCGGGAGGCAGAGGTTGCAATGAGCCGAGATCACACCATTACACTCCAGCCTGGGTGACAAGAGCAAACTCCATCTCAAAAAAAAAAAGAAAAAACAAAACAAAGGACAAAATAAAAAGAGGTTTAACATACTTTTATATTTTTAAAAAGAATATTTAATGAATATTTTAAAAATGATTTTAGTGCTTTTTAATCATTATATTTTATAAACATATTCAATAACACCATTAACCTAGATATTGTATATGTTAATAATCATGAAAGGAAATCCCTTGTAAATAATATCTTCAAAATGCTGAAAAGAAAAACTAACATTGAACATAGTAATAAAAATAATAAAAAATAAAGAAGTGATACCAATATGTCTAAAATTGAAAAAGGTTTTTTGCTTATGCTAGTCTAAAGAATATCAAGTTGTGTAGCATGTGAGATTTTGTGGCAGTCAGTAGATCTCTGTATTACAATTAGAAAATCAGCTGTGAATGATGAGATCAGGGTGTAGGAGCCAACGATGTGAATGATATATCTCTGATTATATTTTATTATATAACTAGACTTTGAAGGCATCCTAATATTTTGTGTGTTTAAAATATAAAATTAAAGCAAAAGTTAAAAGTATTTTGATTGTATATCCATAGTGAGATATAGTCAAAGAACAGAAACAGTTATGAGGAGATCTTGAGTGTCAATTCTTTATTTTTTCCAGTAATTCAAAAAGCTGTAATACTTTGAAATTATTAAATAATATTGTATATATAATTGTATGCATCAATATAAAGAAAAACATTTTCAAGAGGTTAAATACAGCTTTTCAGAATAAAGGAAATTATAGAAAAGCCCTGAAATGTTAAAATTGAAATAGATAAAATTTAGTTTTTTTTTCAAAAATTCCTATTTTTTACATTTGCCCACTCAGAAGGTCAAGAAGCTATAACCTCTAAATGGCAAGTGTCCCAACCACTAGACCCAAAACTGTGAACTCTAAATACCATTTCCCATTAGATAAACAGCTCTTCAGAAGAATGGCGATCCTAGGACCACTGTGTCAGAAGACAAGGAAGCTGACAAAACAAGAAGGTGTGTCAAAGGAGAGAGGCATCAACAGGAAGGACCCTATTGGCCCGGAAGTGGGTCACTTTCAATCATGACTTTAAGAAATGAAACAAATTATATATTTTTTAAAATAATGTTTCAATTATTAATATATGAATATTACATATTCATATGTTCAAAGCAAATGGGATATAAAATTCCTGAAGTTTATAATAATACTTTTTAAAAAAACCAAGGTGACCTAAGTAAAATGTAGTTCTAAAATTTGAGGGTCATCATTGAAGTATTAACTTCTTATCTTAAAATTTGGCAGACAGAGAAAATTAACGTATTTATTTTGACTTTCTTGTATACTTATATCTCAAGGTAATCAAATAACTCTAGTTGATGAAAGAAAGTTTTCTTTGCCAAAAGAATTTCAACTAGTAAATGTGGAAGGAATATGAAAATTAGACAATCATTATTTTTCAATCACTAATAAATGACTCAAGCAAAAATCATTAATAGATGAAATTAGAAGATGAAAGCCTGAGGAGAAATTATATAATGAAGGGATAAGTCACCACTTAACTCCCAGATATCTTAGAAGACAGCAAGACTTTGTATTTTGATATGTTACAACAGAAACTACACAGCACCAATGTGACTGCATTCTTGCAGAAAAGAATATAACCTGACTCAAAATGAGGTTTAAAGCTGAGTCCCGTGTGTAGGAAATACAGAAGATACAGCAAAAATATTAAATAGCATAAAAAAATGAGTGAATAGATGTATAGTAAAACTGACCTGATTTCAACAAGAAATTACATTTTTTAAATAATAGGATTATACTGCGGATTAAAACAAAACAAACAAACAAACAAACAAACAAGATGGTCAGGCACAGTGTCTCACACCTGTAATCCCAGCACTTTGGCAGGCTGAGACCATATGTCTGTCTCATACCTGTTGTTTGAGACCAGCCTGGGCAACATTGCGAGACCCTATTTCTAAATGAAAAAAAAAAAAAAAAAAAAGTGATGCATGGTGGCATGTGACAGTACTTCCAGCTACTCCAGAGGCTGAGGCAGGAGAATAGCTTGAGACCAGGAGTTTGAGTCTGCAGTGAGCTGTAATATTGCCACTACACTCTAGCCTGGGTGACAAAGCAAGACCCTGTCTCAAAAAATAAGTAAAAATTAAAATAATAAAATAATAAATGCAAAGTTTTGAAAGAACCTATCCTATGAACATATAACTCCTTGCCTCTAATATTCATTTCTTGATTCTATTATACCACTTAATATGTTGCATATTACTTATCTCTATGATTCACTCTTACTAATTTGAGCTCCTCAAAGTCGGGGATTGTATCTTATTCATTGATGATATATTCTCATCTATCATCGTTCTTGATTCACATAGAATAGCCATATAAAACAGGTTTATTCAATGAATAGATTTGAAAATGTCTCCATTGGGAGATGTATTAGTTTTACATTCCTATAAAAAGTTATTGCAAACTTAACAGTTTATAAAAGCATTTATCACATAGATTCCATGGCTCAGGTGTTCAAGCATGTCTTTATCTGGTTGTCTGTTAAGGGTTTCATAAGGAGTAGGCTGGACTGCACTCTCATCTGGAGGCTTGCTTCCATAATCCGTCAGGTTGTCGGCAGAATTTGTTTTTCCTACTATTGTAGCACTGAAAGTCCCAGCTTCTTGCTGTATGCCGTTTTCAGTTCCTAGAAAATGCTCACAGTACTAGCCACATGGGGATCCCCAACATGGCTACTTACTTCCTCAAGCACTGGAGGAGAGTCACTAGGGTGAGCCCAAGTTTGCTGGCAAGATGGAGTGTTACATAACACGATGTAATTATGAAAGTGACATGAAATATTTTTTGACATATTCTACTGTTTAGAAGCCATAGAACCAAGTTATAAGTCCTGTCTACACTGAAGTAGAGAATAATACAGAAAGGCATGAATAACAGAAGGTGAGATTATGGAGGGCAACCTTACAATCTGTCTAACATAAAACATTATGTGTAATTGGTTGTATTCATCCTTTACAAAAGTAAACTGCCAAAAGTATAACCCTACTGTAGAATTCAATCTGTTTGAAAGCAGCCATAGTTAAATCCCCAAAATTCTTACTTTAAATATACTTTTACTTTAAATATATTTGATTTTATCAAATAAGAAAAGCCATTTTCACTAGGCTAAATTTTTGTAGATATTGACAGGATAAAATATAGTTTCAGTAAAATAATACATTATAATTTTTTATTTTTTTATTTTTTATTATACTTTAAGTTTTAGGGTACATGTGCACAACATGCAGGTTTGTTACATATGTATACATGTGCCTTATTGGTGTGCTGCACCCATTAACTCTTCATTTAACATCAGGTATATCTCCTAATGCTATCCCTCCCCCCTCCCCCCACCCCACAACAGGCCCCTGTGTATGATGTTCCCCTTCCTGTGTCCATGTGTTCTCATTGTTCAATTCCCACCTATGAGTGAGAACATGCAGTGTTTGGATTTTTGTTCTTGCAATAGTTTTCTGAGAATGATGGTTTCCAGCTTCATCCATGTCCCTACAAAGGACATGAACTCATCATTTTTTATGGCTGCATAGTATTCCATGGTGTATATGTGCCACATTTTCTTAATCCAGTCTATCATTGTTGGACATTTGGGTTGGTTCCAAGTCTTTGCTATTGTGAATAGTGCCACGATAAACATATGTGTGCATGTGTCTTTATAGCAGCATGATTTATAATCCTTTGGGTATATACCAGTAATGGGATGGCTGAGTCAAATGATATTTCTAGTTCTAGATCCCTGAGGAATCGCCACACTGACTTCCACAATGGTTGAACTAGTTTACAGTCCCACCAATAGTGTAAAAGTGTTCCTATTTCTCCACATCCTCTCCAGCACCTGTCATTTCCTGACTTTTTAATGATCGCCATTCTAACTGGTGTGAGATGGTATCTCATTGTGGTTTTGATTTGCATTTCTCTGATGGCCAGTGATGATGAGCATTTTTTCATGTGTCTTTTGGCTGCATAAATGTCTTCTTTTGAGAAGTGTCTGTTCATATCCTTCACCCACTTTTTGATGGGGATGTTTGTTTTTTTCTTGTAAATTTGTTTGAGTTCATTGTAGATTCTGGATATTAGCCCTTTGTCAGATGAGTAGGTTGCAAAAATTTCTCCCATTCTGTAGGTCGCCTGTTTACTCTGATGGTAGTTTCTTTTGCTGTGCAGAAGCTCTTTAGTTTAATTAGATCCCATTTGTCAATTTTGGCTTTTGTTGCCATTGCTTTTGGTGTTTTAGACACACATTATAATTTTTTATATTGAAAAGTATCAATGTCCTGTTTTTGGTGTTTTGTGGTTCTAATAAGCTTATCTGTTAATAAATTGTTTATCTCTGAAAAAGAAATATTTTTGTATATGCAAAAATTGTATTTCTATAGCTAGTTTATATATACTTTTGAGACTAAAGATTTCTACATATATATATATATATATATATATATATATATATATATATATATAGAAAGAGAGAGAGAGAGAGTGAGAGATGAAGATATATAGAATCAGATGTAAATGTAGGCGCAGGTATTATTCCCCAAGTTTGCAGGAGCACTGAAATTGTAATAGAACCAACTTGCTTTTTGAAAACTGGGGTATGATAAATCCAACTTAATGGTGAGTCAAAAGAAAACTGAAATGAGAGCATGACTATATTTGTTCTCAGCTCACTTTATTCTTTTTCTTCTTTATAGCTCTCTTCATGGCTTTCTAACCCTTACCCCATCATCACATATTAAAATTCATATTAAAAAACTCTACAAACAAACAGGAAGCCAGGACTCTAGCTCGAACTGAAACTGAGGAACAATTACTTTCTTATTGCTACATGCTGGTTTGGTTTGTAGATCTGTTGACTCTCACCGAAGACTAAAATTTGCCCCTTCCCCACTCAATTATATAAATTATGTGAGTGAGATAGTTATCTCACCAAAATCAGAACCTTAGGTCATTGAGCCAGCACCCTAGTAATTCTCTGTGAAACATCCTAGCAATGTCTCTGCTACAGCCAAAACACTGAAGTGTCACTTACACTCAAACTTTGTACAACTATCATTACTCCCTAACAATTCTTTGCCCTCATTTAAATATTGAACAAAATATATTTAATTTTAATTTTTTACCGTATTGGCTTTATTTCAAATACAGTTTACTTTGTAGATAATATAAATTATTATTCTGTAATAAGGCAACACCATTAACTTAGATAACTTTTGTGAAGTACAATTAGAAGTAGTTCTTGTAAACCTACTATTCTATCTGAGATTAGTAAGTGATAGGGCTAGACAGATACATGCTAGTGTGTATATCCAGCCTTCTATGTGCTTTTTATTCAAATGTCTAGAATATGATTGACAGTCTTCTAAACTTAAAATTATCAATATGTACACAGTTGAAAACAATGTGTACTTTTTTAACACAGTTAAAAAAGTCTAAGACTGTTAGTTGGAAATAGAATGTATAAATAAAATTTACTTATATTGCTAAATAGTAGTTGAAAATTGGTTATTTAATAATGTATATGTTACATAAGATTATTTTTACTTTCAGAATATACTGGTTGCCAGTCATGTTTATGGGTTTCTAGACCCACATGCATAATTTGGAATTTGAGAAGAACTAAAGAGCAAAAATGTCTCTAATATGATTAAATTTGTAAAACAGAAATTGCCTCTGGAGCCCTTCTTGAGCTTTCACTTGAGGGAAAGTGATTTAGCCCTTGAATCAGATGTCATCCCAACAAAGAAATAGCATCTACTGACCTCATAATCAACACTACCATCCTATGTTTATAAACTATTTTTTCCTTAGATATTATTTAAAACATCATACTAAATAATGAATCATTGAGATAACATTTTATATTAATGTTAAATGAAGGGGCTAAAGAATATATTATATTTATAGGCTTTAATTATGAATTCTAACAAATGATTTAACCCAACTGTGACGTCTTATATTAAATTCACATTTGCCTGTTATTAATCAAATGTATTTCTACTACTAGAATTATAAAATACAAATTTCAACCCAGTAAGCAAAATATAAATCTATGTCAAATGTTAATGGGACCACTGTTTTTTCTATGACTAAGTATCTGGTAACATCTGTTCTTAACATGTTTTATAAGTCAAATTTCACTCATTTATGTTTTGTGGTATGGATGTCTGCTGCCTCAGCAAGAAAAACACAAAAATTGACCAGTGCTAATCAAACTGTTAAAAATTTTGAAGAAAACAAATTACTCCTACTTTCATGTGGTTCTGTTCTTTTTCTATTTGTTCCACGAATAGTTAGAAATAAATACTTTTCATGTTAATGGGTAAATCTGTTAAGCATTTCAATTGTTTTATATTTTTGTTTTTATTTTGGATGGTCCTTTAACATGTTTTTGTTCTTTACTTTTAATTGTTTTCATATACTCATCCCTATTTCCTTTAGAATTGAACAGTCTATATGTAAGACAATGAAGGACAGTATGAAACAGGCTGCATTTCACTTCGCCTGATAAATGACGCCTGGAGATACCAATTAAATAGTTTAGAGGATGGATCACAGAAATACTGAGACTGGGAGCTTAACAAGTCTTTACCTCATTATAAAAAGTTTTTGATGGGAATCAAAAATATATTATAGATAATAACATTTTATAGATATGTTAATATTGAATAATAACATATATCTGTAAAATGAAATAACTACCTATAACATGGGACGATACACATGAAGGCCACTTACCTACATCTCAAAATTTCTTGGCAGTATGTAGCTTGAGCTCCATGAGTACACTTTCATGAAAATATGCATTGATTTGACTCAATGAGGTAAGAACAACCAACAAGTAAGTAAATATACTTTCTTATGATTTTCGTTTGGTTGTTCATAGATACATGTACAAAGATGTTCATAACAGCATCCATTGTAATAACAAGCAATTGGAATCAACTCAAATGTCCCTAGATAGGGAAATGGATGAATAAATTTTGGTTGATCAAATACTATAGATCAAAATATATATATACAGCAACCACCATGAAACTTTTAAACGCAATTTTGTTTGTATTTCCACAAAGCCTTTTGAATGCTTATCACATATCTTTTAGGGTTTTTAGGATGCATCAGAGACCAAAACTAGCAAAGGTCCCTGCTCCTCTGGAAATTACAGAAAAATATGATGAGTTGATTAATTAAGAAATAGTTTAAATTATTTTTAAAGAATATTTTCTTTACTGCTCATATTCAGCCATGTAAATAGTACATGTTTATTATAAATACGTTCTAGCATATAACTGTATATTATGCATGTGATAAAATATATAAAAATAAAAATTTAGAATAAAGTAAAGAGAAATTAAGTATTTAAAACTTATTTTATTAATGGCAATACCCAGCATTTTTAAAATTATTTAATTGATACATTATATTTTACATATTTATAGGGTACATTTGGCTATTTTACGTACATAGAATATAAAGATCAAGTCAGGGTATTTGGGATATCTCTCACCTTGAGTATCATTCCTATGTATTAGGAACATTTCAAATTCTCTCTTCTAGCTACTTTGAAATATACAATACATTACTGCTAACTCTATTTAGCCTACTCTGCTAACATTAGAACTTATACCTTCTATCTAACTACATGTTTGTACCCATTGACCAACTTCTCTTCATCAACCCCTCCCACCCACACACTTTTTCCATCCTCTAATATATGTCATTCTACTCTCTACCAACAGGAGATCAACTGTTTTAGTTCTTATATGAGTAAAAACATGTGGAATTTGTCATTCTGTGTCTGGCTATTTTCATGACCTTCAGGGACATTCATGATGCTGCAAATGCCATGATTTCATTATTTTTATGGCCAAATAGAATTCCATTGTGTATATATAACACATTTACTTTATCCATTTGGCTGTTGATGGACACAAGTTGATTCCATATGTTTGCTATATTAAAGTAAAAAGCTTCTGCTCAGCAAAGGATACCATAAACAAAGGGAACAGACAACACGTTGAATGGTAGGAAGTATTTGTAAACTATTTACCTGAGAAGGCACTAATACCCAGAATATACAAGGAACTGAAAAACCTCAACAGAAAAAAAAAATCCCATTAAAAAGTGGGGAAAGGACACAAATAGACATTTCTCAAAATAAGACATACAATGGCCAAATTGTGTATGAAAAAATACTCAACATCACTAATTATCAGGGAAATGCAAATCAAAACCACAATGAGTTATCATCTTACCCCAGTTAGAATGGTTATTATTAAAAATACAAAAAATAACATCTGCTGGCAAGGATGCAGAGAAAAGACATCTCTTATACATTGTTCATGGGAATGTAAATTAGTACAGCCACTATAGAAAAAAGTATGAAGATTTCTCAAAAAATTAAAAATAGAACTACCACAAAATCCAGCCATTCCACTACTGGGTATTTATCTAAAGGAAAAGAAATCAGCATATCAAAGAGACAGATAGCAACCAGTATTTCTAGAATTATGATGCTATTATTATTATAATGAGTGGTGTGTTTATATTCAAAGTTTTATAACTCTGAGCACTTTTTAATACAGTGACTCAAAAATCTGTTTCTAAATAACATCTGTCCTATTTCTTGAATTTAATAACAAACTTCTGCTAAAATTTATACCATAGAAAGTTAAGTGCCTTGATTTTTAAAAGTTGATATTCTACATATAGTTAAAAATACTTTTTGCTACAATTAGGTTTTAGTATAACTTCTTTCATCATTGATTAAAGCAGGAAAGTAGATGAATTTTAAACAAAAGCAATTATACAATGATGGAAACACTGATTGATCAAAATTTCTAACACTATGTTCTAAAATTAACTGGCTACTCATTATATTCATATCCACATATGCAAACATATTAAGTATCAATATGTATACATCAATTAGTGGTAATTATTTCATTATAAATTGGAAAAAAATGTACATTTCATCTTTTCAAAAGTCTTTACCTAAATTTCATTAGTATCGTATTTTCCCAAATTACTTAAAGGAATTAGAGTTAAAGAAAATATATCCATATCACTATTAAAAGCAAATTTTAAAAAGTTTATACTAAAATAGGTTACAGGAATATTAGAAATTGTACATAGAGACAGATCTAGAATGTCTAAATATAATAGAACATTTAAAATGCATATAATTGCAGTATTGTGTTTTACAAAAACTTATTTGAAGAAACTACTTATTTTAACTATAAGAATTTAAAAATAAATCTAACTGTCTTCCAAATACTAGTGTAGATAACAACTTACCTGGGTAACAAAGTAAATATATGGTCTTTAGAAAGAGTCACCCATTTTAGCATTTGTGGTAAATTCAATTGTCTGTGTGAATTAAATGTCTTGCTTATTGCCCATTTTGCTCTGTATTAAGTGCACTATTGCAAAATGAATAAAATATATAGTCATGTTTAAACTAAAACCATTAAAAATTCAATTTCTTCCAGAGGAGTTTAATTTACCAAGAAACATTAAGTGATTTTTGGATTAAAATCCAATTTTCCTGATATTGTACAATCTTATGCAACTTTATAACTCTCTAGTTCTTTGTTTTAAAGCTTGTGAATAAAATTTCCTTTTAATTGAAAGCATTTGTAATTTACAACTATAAAACTTTAAGGTTATTTTTTATTTAAAAAGTAGTATAAGCCTTATCTGTAGATTGAAAATTAAAGTTTTAAAAGAAACTTTGAAAAGAGAATGAAAATTAGAAAATTATTTGTAATTAAAAGTAAAAAATAAATTAAGAGCACTGTTCTTTATCTCTGGTTAAACTCAACTCAGGGACATGGAAATTATTCAGACAAAAATTGAATTTCTCTTCTACTTTTTCATCTATTGGGCAGGTAAGCTGTTATTTTGGAAAATAGGATAAGTAAAGTTAAAAAATGCTGCTTAAAACTTTAGTTTTACAAAAATAGATTTACCTTAGAATTTTTAAAATAAAATTGTTAGCTTTGCAGGTCAACACATTCAAACTCAATGTATCTGAGTTAGCTCATGAGATAGTACTGCAGAATCGTGCCTTCCTTCATCACCCCTCAACCTCAAGATCTGGGTGAATCCTTCTAATGCAGATGACCACTGACCGATCTCAGGAGGTGATATGAGACTAATAAAATGAGTTAGAATGTAGAAGGCCCCAGAAGAGCATTAGCCGTTATTATTATTATTATTATTTACTAATAAGAGCATAGCATCTATTCGTTAACCAAATGTTAATATGCATTTTTTTATTTTTACATTTTCTACAGGGAAGCTTACTTTTCCATGTTGAACAATTGTTAAAAACTATCCTCCTAATTTTGTTAGTAACCACTTAATAAATTTACTCAAATTACAGAATTTTTACAATTTCAGCTCTCTCTAAAGTGAAGATCTGACATGTAAGGAAAAAAATCGCTTTTATGAGAAAGGATGTGACAGGAGACAGTAAGAGTAACAGTTTACTGGGCCTCTAGCTTTCACGAAGAAAAAAAAAACCTGGGAATTTATATAATTTTTAAAACCAAATATAAAGTGGTATGTTATTACAATTCTTTATCTCAATATTTAAAATCATATATAGAAGTCAGATGCACAGATGCTGAGCAGATAGAAAAAAGATGTTTCCTCAACCCTCAATTATCTCAGGTCTTCCATACGAAGTAAAATCATTTATATTTTTAAAAAGTAATAGCTGTATTAATATGAGTGCCAGTGGAGATTTTAATGCTCACATACTTCTGAGTATGAAAAGTATCTTTACTGTAATCCCAGCACTTTGGGAGGCCAAGGTGGGCGGATAACCTGAGGTCAGAAGTTTGAAACCAGCCTGGTTCAACATGGTGAAACCCCATTTCTACTAAAAATACAAAAATTCGTCGGGCGTGGTGGCAGACACCTGTAATCGCAGCTACTCAGGAGGCTGAGGTGGGATAATCGCTTGAACCCTGGAGGCGGAGGTTGCACTGAGACAAGATTATGCCACTGCACTCCAGACTGGGGGACAGAGCGAGACTCTGTCTGAAGAAAAAAAAATGTATCTTCAACTAACAGCTATTCATTAAATCCTGATAAGGACATAGACTTACTCAGCTAACTGTTGTCCCAGGCACAGAAGGCTTGATTTGTTGTTGTTGTTGTTGTTTGTTATTGTAACAAGAGAAATTAGTCAGTTTCAAACCAATTGATGTGAATTTGGATTCTCAGACTTTATGAAAAAGGTTGACATAATACCAAATTCTAACAGGTTAGGCTATAATTCCAAGAAAGCAACTACTTATTAACAATGCTCTCCAATTTCTGCTGTTCGTGATTACTTAGTCAAGACAAATTGTGAAATATACTAAGACACTACACAGTTTGCTAATATTCAGAGATAAAACAATAAAACAAAAATTATTATCCTCTGAGACCCCACTGTTGGTGGTTGGCCACTGTAGCTCCCTGTGGGGAGGGCCTACAGTATGGCTTGCATGTCACTCCCTGGGTATTCAATTCAATACATGGCACCCGTGGTTGACTGCTCATAGGGGAATGACCAGAGAAGAAACCCTCCTCCGGGGGACATATATACTGTCTGTGTGGCCTATTATGAGCTCCCCCATGACTTTGGCACAGAAACAGGACTCAAAGGAACCATGGGGAGCTGAGAAGGTGTGGTACCATTACTCAGGGCAAAGCCCTTGGCAGTTGCATTGTTATCCAGTTGCATTGTTATCCAGGCAGTTGCATTGTTTCCATCAGGGATGGAAAGTTAGCCTGTATTTTGCCTGAGGGATGTGATCTACTTCTGTTAGTACCTGTGCCTGCTCTGACATTTAGACTGTAGGTTAACATGCTTCAACTGCATTGTGGCCGGGGCCCACACCTATGCTGAGGTGACCCATGTTTCCAACTGTTGGATCTGCACTTTCCCCCTTCCAGCAGCAGCTGCTGCTTGCCTTGGCAGATACATCCAGCATCTGCAGAGAGCTGGACATGGCTGGAGACTCTACGATTCCTTGAGTGCTCTTCCAGCTACCTGCCACTCACACACTGACTCCCCTCGGATCTCAATTAGAACCTGACATATATATTTATTTATATATACTGCTCAAAGGAAGTTGTTCTAAATGAAGTAGTTGCTTTAAAGGAAGTAAACATTGAGAAAAATTAGATCCCTTGCTTTATATCAAATTAAGTATATTCTAAGATGTTTAGTGTTTTTTTTCTACTATGGGAAAAATAGGCCCCCACACAATATTTTATCAATAATGTCAAGTATATACAAACACCTCAAATATAACACTGTTGCCAAAAGTGCCTGAGACTCAGATCTTAGCAAGCATTATGGGTAGTTTAGAGGGGAAAATTGGGGCTAAATTACAAGACTTCTACCCCAGGGATTCAAAGGTATACAGTTTCTATTATTCCTTCATAAAATATATGTGTATTTTAGATATTTTTTCTCTTCATTGAAGCAAAAAGTCACTCAACTATGCAGGTTTATGCAGGTATAATTTACCTTAGAAAAGCCCTGTTCGTTTGAACTGAAACTCAGTTTAGTTTTTTTTTTTTTTTTACAAGTAATCAGTCTGTTTTTCAGCCACGGCTTGAGCTGGTTAGCCAGAAATTCAAAGAAATTTAATGGAAACACATGATTTCTGATGCACTTTTATCTTGGTCTACTAGTTTGTAAAACAGTAGAAGACTGAAGGATTACAGAGTGCAGAATAACAGGAAAACCTTTCCAAGACTCACGTAACTGTAAGCTTCCTTAGCCCTCCTCTTTTCTTGCTGCTACCCTGCCATGTGATCAGCTTCAATCTGGACGCCAGCTGTCTTGGGCACTACTGGAGAGGTGATTTTTCATCTCTACAGCCTTATATCTCCCTGTATGCATCTTTACTCCTTCTCTTGGGGGCTTGAAGATGCTTTGGATTAGAAGAAATAGAGTCTAAGGGTTGACTTGACATGTTAGTTTTAGAGTCTGTGTTCCAACTATGTCACATTAAGGTCTAAGAGTTCAGGGATCTAAGCAAAGATTATAATTCAGTGTTAGTTTCTTTCAAGCCTAATTGAAAATTAGAATCACCCAGGGAGATTCTGTGACCTGGCCTTACTCCTAAATGTTATGAATTAATTGGTTTCAGGTGAGGCCAGACAGACTTCATTTTCAAAAGCTTCCACGTGATTCTAATATACTACCCAGGTTTAAAATGTCCCAATTCTTTTAACAAGACCTTTAGAGCTCTATCAACAGAACATGGTGTGCTCTAGATAGTAAGGTATCCTTGTAGTTACTATATGTGTGTTGGCTCCTAGAAATCATAAGAAATTCATGATAAAACTGTAAGATTTTTACTGATTACAAACTGTAATTGTGCTGCCAAAAATATTGTCACATAATATTAAGTATATATATTATTAGCCTTGCTAAGTCTATTGTCCATCTAGGAGTCGCTGAGCACTTCATATTTGCTTCTAGAACTGCCCAAGCAGAACCTATCCACCCATATATAATGTTTTCCTGTTCTCTTGTGTGTGTATTTTCAGTCAAGATGAATAGAGAGTTTAGTTGTTGCATTATTTTTTATTTTTCTACTTAATATTATTTTATATGGTTAATATGGTCCAATATACTTTTGAAATTTTTGAAATGATGTTAAACATTTTCCTTTTAGATATTTGCTTCTATAAAATTATTTTTGTTATAAATATGACAGTGATTAAGTCATTTTAAAAACTGGCTGCATCAGTAAATTTTTCCTTCTCATATACTCAAAATATATAAATACCTTACAGGATCATAACATGTATTTCCAAATGGCTTCTTAAAAAATGACTGTCATTATAGTATGTAAATTAGAAGATAGATGGAAATTGATACTTCATTGTTCAGTTGACTGGCCTTTATCAGTACATGCTCGTTTATTAGCATGTTTATATTTTTATTTGTAAAGCTACTGGTCATTTGCACTAGTTTAATCATATACTGTCTGCTTCTACATCTCACTAATTCACTTTTGAAATTTTAATGTTACTTAATACACTTGAAAAGTCTCCATTTCCATTATTTTCTCATTTTAACAAAATGTATTATCAAAATTGTTCTCACATATTCTCAATGTATTTTAAATGTCTATGTTTTTTATATAAACATTATGCTTTATATATCAATTATATTTACCCTTTCTTATGTTATTATAGCATTTAGAAAGCCCTTTAAAATACTACAATCAGATGCAGTGCAAATTTTATTGGTATGCAGATGTATTTTATGAATTGTTTTTCTCAATACACGTGGAAACTATTTTGTTGTATAGTTTAAAAAGAAGCTGTAGATTGATAGCAAAACCACTTAGTAAATGAACCGTTTTCCTTTTGGTGTTGAGAGACTGCAAATGACTTTTTTTCTACAAAATCATATGGTCTCTGGTGTTTTATTGCAACATATTTTTGGATAAATGGATAGTCCCAGACTTAAGGTGGTTTGACTTATGATGATTATTTTTCCAAAATATTAAGATTTTCTTAGAATCCATAGAAAGTTCAATGCAGGCATCCTTTAGAGATTGACTTAATCACCAGTTCTTAATTGCCTTTGTTACCTTCTATGCCAGTCAGAAAAATAGAATAGATCAACTTCTCTTCTCTAGCCCCATTAGGGTTGAGGGAAAAATTTGGAAGTGTGTGTAGCATAAGATGAAAGTCTTTTGAAATTCTTAACAATAGATTTATATGTTATATTACTCCCGAGGATGGAGTTTTCCATACTTGTAAGTATGATATAAAAGAAAAGCTTCTGATCATTTGTCATAAGCATAACCATAACACCAATGGTATTAAGTAAATATCCTATGGGTGTATGTTTGAGTGAGTGATCATGTGTGTTTGATGTCTCCATTAAATTCAAGGAAAGCATAACTTGTTAAAAGAAAAATGTGGAAAAGCAAAACCCTAGCAAGGTGTTACATTTCAATATTTCTTTTTTTGTATAGGTCTACTGTATGAGAGAGTGAGAATATAATCCCTGTATTTTCAAAGCAATAAATTTGTCTTTTAATCAGAGAATAATGCAACTTGTTTTTTAATGTTAATAGGCATATGAGATTATGTGAGTAGGTAGGTAATCTATAAACATAAAAATTATATCCATGGGAGAGGATGTAATTTTCCCAAATTACACATCTTTTAAATAACAGACAAAATGAAAATGGAGAAGGCAAGTAAATAATCCAGCTTAAAGCAGTTGTGATAGAGATAGAAAATCAAGAATGAAAATCCACACTGTAGAAACTAATCACCAAGAGGCAATACCACATTTAAACAGCAGTGCACTTTGTTGGGTATAATATGCTTAAGTCTCAAAAACATCTGTCAATAATCATGGCACTAATTCCTGGAAACCCTGGCATTACTGATGAAATGTTAAAGAGTTAGGCCAGGTTCATGGCTCATGGCCGGGCGCAGTGGCTCATGTCTGTAATACCAGCATTTTTAAAGACTGAGGTGGGCAGATCACTTAAGGCTAGAAGTTCAAAACCAGCCTGGCCAACATGGCAAAACCCCATCTCTACTAAAAATACAAAAAAAAAAAAAAAAAAAAAGAAAATTAGTAGGGCATGGTGGTGCATGTCTATAATCCCAGCTACTCAGGAGGCTGAGGAGAATCAACTGAACCTGGGAGATGGAGGTTGCAGTAAGCTGAGATTGTGCCACTGCACTCCAACCTGGTGACAGAGCAAGACTCTGTCAAAAAAAAAAAAGTTAAATAGTTTTGGATTGAGACACACTCTTCATGGAGAGCCTGTTCTGTCAGTATACAGGCACCTAGAAATACTTTGGAATATGAATTATAAACAACCCAATAGCTAGGTTTTTGGTCAGGTGGCTAGAGTGGCAAAACTGTAATGTCCATTTACTTGTATTTTCAGTTTTAATTGTAACTTAGTTTTATTTTACAAAGACCCAGATGCCTGGGCCAAATAATGCAGTATGCCTGGATAACATGTGTTTTGAAGACTTGCTTTAAGCCTGAAGGAAAAACACAAGATAAACAGCACTCTAAAGATTTGGCAGTACAAATATTGGAAAGAGGGGTACTGCCATACCATTCCAATGTCAGACCAATCACTGATCAAAAAGAAATATTCTTAGATAAGCCCTCATTTTAAGGTTTCTCCAGCTTTAAAATCATAGAGTTAACTATTCAGTTATGTAGCCATACAGTTTACATCAGTTAATCAAACATTTAGCGAACATAAGTATGTTTATGAAGCATTAACTGAATGATACAGAGGAATTTATTCCAAAATCCAGTGTTTTCCAAGCAACGAAACATGGGACAGAGCCATTCCATTAAAAAAAAGTATCCATTGACTCAAGGTAAAATGAGAAATATGAGGAAAATATAATACTTTGATTATTTTTGTAAGCAGATATGTTCAAACTAATGGAAACATTAACAAGGGTCTGATTTTTTTGTCAATGAAGAAAAATATTGAACCTCTAAACACAGTATTAGTACAACAAAACACAAAAATTGGAATAGCATTTAAATTAAATACATGTGAAAGGAAAAATACCTATCCTGCTGAATTCGTCTGGCTCCAACTAAATCACACATTGAATTGTAATCCTCAATATTGGGAAGAGACCTGGTGGGAGGTGTTTGGATCATGGGGCCAGTTTCCCCCTTGTTGTACTCATGATAGTGAGTGAGTTCTCATGAGATCTAGTTGTTTGGAAATGTGTAGGACTTTCTCTCTATTCTCTCTCTCTCTCTCTCTCCTGCTTCGCCATTATGAAGATGTGCCTGCCTCCCCTTCACTTTCCACCATAATTATAAGTTTCCTGAGGCCTCCACAGTCATGCTTCTGGTACAGCCTGCAGAACTGTGGGTCAAATTAAACCTATTCTCTTCATAAATTACCCAGTCTAAGAGTAGTTCTTTATAGTGGTATGAGAAAGGATTAATACAGAAAATCGCTACCAGATAAGTAGTGCATTGCTTTAAATATAGCT
Organism: Homo sapiens; assembly: GCF_000001405.40. Classification (NCBI taxonomy): domain Eukaryota; kingdom Metazoa; phylum Chordata; class Mammalia; order Primates; family Hominidae; genus Homo; species Homo sapiens. The sequence continues at coordinate 85,289,489 of NC_000013.11, read as the reverse complement.
GAAAATGTGGAAGCAGCTTTGCAATTGAGTAATGGGAGTAGTTTGGGGGACTCAGAAAAAGAGGATGATGAGGGAAGGTTTGGAACTTCCTAGAAACTTGTTGAATGGTTTTGACCAAAATGTTAATAGTGATATAGACAGAGATGGCCAAGCTGATGAGGTCCCAGATGGAGATTAGGAATTTATTGGGAACTGGAGTAAACGCCACTCTTGCTATGCTTTAGCAAAGAGACTAACGACATTGTGTCACTGCTCTAAACATCTGTGGAATTTTTTAACTTGAGAGAGATGATTTAGGGTATCTGTTGGAAAAAATGTCTAAACAGCCAAGTGTTCAAGAAGTAAGCTGGCTGCGTCTAACAGCATGTTCTTATATGCATTCACAAAGAGAAGGTCTGAAGTTGGAACTTACATTTAAAAGGGAAGTAGAGTATAAAAGTTTGGAAAACTTGTAGCCTGATCATGCAGTAGAAAAGAAAAGCCCATTTTCTGGGGAGAAATTCAAGCCACCTGCAGTAATTTACATGAGTAAAGAGGGTCCAAATGTTAATTGCCAAGACAATGGGGAAAATGTTTCCAGGGCATTTCAGAGACTTTTCCAGCAGCCCCACCCATATAGGCCTGGAGGCCTAGAAGGGAAAATGGTTTCATGCGCTAGGCCCAGGGCCTCACTGCTCTGTGCAGCCTTGGGACACAATGCTCTGCTTCCCAGCCACCCCAGCTCCAGCAATGGTGAAAAGGGACCAAGGTACAGCTTGGGCCATTGCTTCAGAGGGTGCAAGTCCCAAGTCTTAGTGTCTTCCACATGGTGTTGGGCCTGAGGGTGCACAGAAGGCAAGAATTGAGGTTTGGGAGCCTCTGCCTAGATTTCAGAGGGTGTATGGAAACAACTGGATGTCCAGGGAGAAGTATGCTGCAGGAGCAGAGCCCTCATGGAGAACCTCTACTAGGGCAGTGTGGAGGGAAAATATGGGATTGAAGACCCAACACAGAGTTCCCACTGGGGCACTGCCTAGTGAAGCTGTGAGAAGATGGCCACTATCCTTCAGACCCCAGAATGGTAGATCCACCAACAACTTGCACTGTGTGCCAGGACAAGCTGCAGGCACTTAATGCCAGCCTGTGAAGGCAGCCTCAGGTGCTGTACCCTGCAGAGCCACAGGGAAGCAGCTGCCCAAGGCCTTGGGAGCCCACCTTTTTCATCAGTGTGGACCTGATATAAGACATAAAGTAAAAGGAGATTATTTTGGAGCTTTAAGATTTAATGACTCCCCTGCTGGGTTTTGTACTTATATAGGGCCTGTACCCCTTTGTTTTGGCTGATTTCTCCCTCTTGGAATGAGAACATTTACCCAATGCTTTTACGCCCATTGTATCTTGGAAGTAACTAACTTCTTTTTTATTTTACAGGCTCATGGATGGAAGGGACTTGCCTTGTCTCAAATGAGATTGGACTTGGGACTTTCGAGTTAATGCTGAAATGAACTAAGACTTGGCAGACTGTTGTGAAGGCATGATTATGTTTTAAAATGTGAGAAGTACATGAGATTTGGGAGGGGCCTGGGGCAGAATGATATTGTTTGGCTCTGTGTTCCCAGCCAAATCTCTCATTAAATTATAATCCTCAATGTTGTGGGAGGCCTGAGGTGATTGGATCATGGGGGTGGTTGTCTGCAGTTGTTCTCATGATAGTGAGGTGAGCTCTCATGAGACCTGGTTGTTTGAAAGTCTGTAGCACTTCCTCCTTTGCCCTCCTCTCTCTCCTGCCTCACCATTGTGAAGATGTGCCTACTTCCCCTTTTCCTTCTATCATAATTGTAAGTTTCCTGAGGTCTCTCCAGCCATGCTTCCTGTACAGCCTGCAGAACTGTGAGTTAATTAAAGCTCTTTTTTTAAAAAATTACCCAGTCTCAGGTAGTTCTTTATAGCAGTGTGAGAACAGACTAATATACCTGTAAGTAAAATAAAACAAAAATTAATTCAAATTAAGCACATAAAAATGAAGATAGTGCAAAGGAGAGGAGCACAGCATTTAAAAGAAAATAAGGCAATAAATCAACCAGATAAAACTATGTATAATAAAGCCATCTCCATTTTCCTTAACAAAGGTAATGATTTTAGAGACTACCTATGTAGCTACCATATATATCTCTACCATATATATCTACTATATATCTATATTTACTATGTATATATAGTAGAATACTATATATACATGTATCTACTATAGATATATGTCTACTATATATATATAATATATATATTAAATATATTTCTGTGTCCCTTCTTGGCCATTCTATTGACTTCTTTCATAATTAAAATTCAATGTTACTGTTCCCTGATGTCACAAATCCTGGGATCTATTATTATACATCATGTAAAACCTGGAATTAACTAGATTACAGTTATGATATACACATAATTTATTTTTAATAAGTTAAAACTGATTTGCTATGTTTGATGTTAATGAGTATTATAGGGAAGAGCTCTAAAGTAACAATTACTAGATTGAAACTAAGAATAATTTTCTGGGCATGTTCCAATATTATATCATATGTATCATATGTCTTCTTTAGAAATATGAGAGAAATATCTCTGGTTCTCAACATCAACATATTTTTTAACTGTTGTTGTGGTGCTATAATGAAACATTTCTTAATTTCATTGCACTGTGATGCAGGGGTGATAGAAACCTACATTTGCTTTATTCATTTAATGCAAATAAACTTTCTCTCTTTCTGACCTCATTATAGTATGTGGTTTCAATAAACCAGTTTTTGCATTTTTTCTATTGCCCTATAGAACTCAGTGTCATTTTAGTATTGGTTGAAAATACTACCCATTACAACAGATAACTAGGAGGGCAGAGGGGGGAGGCATGGTAAACTTATGATTTCCCCAGTTTTGATTTATTGATCAAAGTGAAAAAGCACTGACCTACGGTTTCATTGTGGTAAAAGACCAGCATCATATTCTATAATATAGTTTTATAATACTTTTGACACATTATCTATATTCCAGTTATTCAAATACTGGCACCCATTGTCCATCAAGCCTGGAACTATATAAAAGAGTCAGTTTGAAATTTACGTTAACCAACCTTAACCTTTGTGGCACAAGGGAAAGTGTCCACAGTTTTTCCTTTCCTAAGAAAAATCAGCTGGTTTTAAAACCACAAATATTTTCCAGGAAACACTGCCATAATCACATCATCTTCTTGGCATAACTTCCCTTTCACCACTGAGAATTGCCAGTCTGTGAGTGGGATGTTTATGTGTAGAAGAAATCCACATGGAATAAATGAAATAATAAATATAGCTTCAACTCCCCAAGTTAATTACTCTGAAATCTTAGTTCAGATAATATAGGTTCATAAATTAATAATAAGTAAATAAATAGATATGAGTCCAAAATCAAGCAAGAGGTAGTTTTGTCCTGGAGGTAGACTTCCAATTACTGCCATTTGCTACTTTACAGACGTGGCGTCTTTGAAAGGTTGGTCAAAGAGGGAAGGAGATTATCAGTTTCTTCTGTGATTTGTTCAAATTTCTCTT